>NC_000022.11:34467139-34618654 GCF_000001405.40 Homo sapiens
CAGGCACTGAATCAATAGGTGGTGAATGATGCAATGGGGTTTTTGTGAAGACTGAGATCCACACTTGGAAATTAAATGCATACTAGCATATGCATGCACCTAGCCTGTCTTCTGGCAGTGGTTGGTGCCTGGTGGGGGACAGCCACATGTTCTGCCATCCTAAGGATGCATCTTGTCTTCATTTTCTGCAGGGTCTTTGTTAGTGGCTGAGGCTCATTGAGCCTGTGCAATGAAGTATGAGATGGGAAAGGTAGAAGAAAAATGTCTTGGTTCAGGTGCATAATTCATGAAGCCTGGATATTAATATTAATTATCCTGTCCACCAAAGTCAGGCAAATGAAATATGCAGAGAAAAACGTGGAAGCCCAGAAACTTCAGGTCTTTTAGACTTAGTTCGCCTAAGGGTATAGTTATAAAAGTACAGCCAGATTTGTATGGAACTTTTGTATAGAGCCAAATTAGAGCTTGCTAAGAACTTTTACATTTATTAACTTCATTATGTTCACAATAACCCCATGAAGTTGGTGAGACAAGGAAGAGCTCCCACATTAAAGATGAGGAAAGTGGACTCCACCAAAGTCACAGAGCTTGACAGAAGCAGAACAGGAGCTGGAATTCAGGGGACCTGATTTCGAATCCCATGTTCTCGCCATGACTTCACTCTGCTCTGATAGTTTTTATATAATGTAATTAAGATAGCATGCACAAATTCCTCCTAATACTATATATATTTATAGTATTATAGTATAATATATAGTATATATAATTATATAGTTTTATAGTATACTATATGTTATAATACTATATAAATTGTAATACTATATATAGCACTATATATAGTATATATAGCATTCCTATATATAGTATTACTATATATAGTATATCATATAGTATTACTCTATATAGTATATATAATACACAGTGTGACTACATATAGTATATATAATACACAGTGTGACTACATATAGTATATATAATACAGTGTGACTACATATAGTATATATAATACACAGTGTGACTACATATAGTATATATAATACACAGTGTGACTACATATAGTATATATAATAGTGTTACTACATATAGTATATATAATATATAGTGTTACTACACATAGTATATATAATATATAGTGTTACTACATATAGCATACTATATATAGTATCACTGTATCAGCATTACTATAATATATAGTATATATAAATATGGTGTATATATAACTATAGTGTATATATAATATATACTATATCTAGTAATACTATATATAGTCATTTAGTACTACATATAGTAGTACTAGATATAGTATATATACTATATATACTATATATACTATATACTGTACAGTATGTATATACTATATACACACACTATATATAGTGTGTGTACATACTATATACACACACTATATATAGTGTGTGTACATACTCTATACACACTATATAGAGTATGTATATACTATATACTTCACACTATATAGTATGTATATACTATAGACACATACACTATATATAGTATGTATATACTATACACACACACTATATATAGTATGTATATACTATATACACACACTATATATATAGTATGTATATACTATACACACACACTATAGTATGTATATACTATACATATACTGTATACTATATATACACTATATATAGTGTGTGTATATATAGTATACCCACACTATATATAGTGTGTGTATATATAGTATACACACACTATATAGTATATATAGTATACTATACATATTATATATACTATACTATACTATATACCATATATACTATACTATACTATACTATATATAGTATATATAGTGTGTGTGTAGTATATACATACTATATATAGTGTGTGTGTATAGTATATACATACTATATATAGTGTGTGTATATAGTATATATAGTATATACACACTATATATAGTGTGTGTATATATAGTATATAGTGTGTGTGTATCATATACACACACTATATACAGTGTATGTATCGTATATACACACTATATACAGTGTGTGTGTGTATCGTATATACACACTATATACAGTGTGTGTGTATCGTATATACACACTATATACAGTGTGTGTGTGTATCGTATATACACACTATATACAGTGTGTGTGTGTATCGTATATACACACTATATACAGTGTGTCTGTGTATCGTATATACACACTATATACAGTGTGTGTGTATCGTATATACACACCATATACAGGGTGTGTGTGTATCGTATATACACACTATATACAGGGTGTGTGTGTATCGTATATACACACTATATACAGTGTGTGTGTATTGTATATACACACTATATATAGTGTGTGTGTATCGTATATACATACTGTATAGTATATAGTATATATAGTGTATATATAGTATACTATATCTAGTACTACTGTATATAGTACTAAATGACTATATATAGTATTACTAGATATAGTATATATTATATGTACAATATTATAGTTATATGTACACCATATGTATTTATATATAATATATTATAGTAATGCTGATATAGTAATACTATACACAGTATACTATATGCAGTAACACTATATATTATATATACTATATGTAGTAACAGTATATATTATACATACTATATGTAGTAACACTATATATTATATATACTAAAGTAACACTGTATTATATATACTATATGTAGTAACACTTATATATATTATATGTAGTAACACTGTGTATTATATATACTATATGTAGTAACACTGTGTATATATATGTACTATATATATAACACTATATATACACACTATATATAGTGTGTGTATATACTATATATATACACGATATATAGTATAAAAACATATAGTAAAAGCCACTATGTTAACAAATTCTTTTGTCTTGCAAAATTCCTGCGTCTGTAAAATGGGATGTAAGTGGAGCTTATCACATGTGTTTCTTGGGTGATTAAAAGAATTAGTGAACAAAGAAAAATCAACGCAATGCCTTTTCATTAAGATGATGTTGCAGGGAAAATAGTCTTTATTTACTTACTCGTTTAACAAATTTTATTGAGCTTCCACTACATCCTACATATTTGTTCTGAACACTGGGGTTACCAAAGTGAGCAGGCACAAATATCTTTCACTTTTATCTTTCAGTGTAGGAGGCTAAAAATAAACAAGGAACATAGTAGTAAGATAGGGTTGGGTAAGGCTAAGGCAGGAGGAGGGGGACATAGACAACCAAGAGGGTCAAGAAAATTCCTTTTGAGAAGGTAATATTTGATTTATGTGTAGTAAGAGAATGAGGCATAAGGGGGTCCTCATAAGTGGGAAAGAGTGATCCAGACATGAAAAACATGGAAAATAGCTGATAACAAGTAGTGCTTAGCAACTCAGAATATTGGCTTCCATTTTGGGGATTTTCAGTTAAGGCTCGAATTCATATTTTACCACTTTGATGTTCAGAAGGCTCTTTATACTAATTATCTCATTGGGAATTGGAATACATAAACATATTTATTCACTTCAACTCAGCAATTGTAATTTTAGGACATTATTCCAAGTAAATAAAAATAATAGAGTCAAATATTTGAGTGTAAAGGGATTCTTTTCAGCCTTATGTATATTAATCAAAATTGGTCACACTCTTATGTCCAGCAATAGAGCAGCAGTCATATAAATTATGTTTCTTTCTGTACTCTGCATTTTAATCCTCCTCTTCTCTCTCCTGCTCCTCTCCCTTTTCTTGCTCCCCCTACTTTTTCCCTCCTTCTCCCCTCCTTCTTATTCTTATCCTTCCATTCTATTTTCTCCCTCCAAAGAAAGCTATATTATCTTGGACTCAGAGTCTACCATTTTGAAAGATGGTAACTATAGGGAAGTGAGAGGGAGCTATCCTATACAAATCTACAAAGCTAGTGTTTTATTTTACTGAGATATGTACTTTTTTGAGATGGGTTTTTCCAGAAAAGATTTACCTAAGTTTTTTCCAAATGCCTAGGGACGGGATCTATAAGAGTAGGACCCTTTTAAAAGGAATTCATAGCTAGATGTTCAACAGATAGAGTGAATTGTGACTGCAGCTTGCATGATAGCTGGTTTCTGTCTATAACTTCTTGTGGGAAACTTTTCCTCCCCATTTACGCAGAAGTTTCTGAGATGGGAGAACTTCTTTGGAGTCCTCCAGGAGATGGGTATTTATTAATAATTCTCCCATATACTGAAAATGTAAGCTTTATAGGGTTTGGTTTTATTGGGAAATCCTATGCTAGACTTACCTTGGGCAGACTCTGGAGTTTGTTTGTCTTTGAGCTGTATAAAACTGTAAACATTTACACCTAAGTTTCACAGAGATCAGAAAATGCCCTTCAGGCAGTCAGCAGCTTCAGTGCTATGCTTGCATTTCTAGGTCCTTGTTACGAGTATCACTGACCTTCTTTCCAGGTCAAAGCAGCATTCAAAAAGATACCAAAATGTTTTCTCCAACAATTGATAGTTGTTTCATCAGAAAGATTGTGTGTGTTGGGGGGAGTGGGGGGTGCTGGCAGAAGGAACCATGTTTATAATGTTTACAGAAACAAAAGTCTCAGTAAGAAAAATAATTCAGACACCAACCTAAATTTGCCTGCCCCCAAGAATGCTTAACCTATTGGAAACATATTACATTTAATACCAGGGTAGTGGTGGTTCCACTCCATTTCAATTTAGTCAGACTAGAACATTGGTGCTATGTTTAGTACTAAGAACTTGCATGATGTTTCTGGATGACTTAGCTCCAGAGTTCAGCTTTGCTGCTGCTCATTCCAAAGCAGAGGCAGCAGCTGAGCCCAGGGGCAGGTGTGCAAGCAGAAAGCGGGTTAAAGGAAATGAGCAGGATTTGCATCTTGGAGTGGCGTTTTGCCTCATGAGTGAAAGTGATTAACCAGTTCATCTTCCTGCTCTATTCACCCCTAACTTCTTTCTTCCATCCCTAATAAAGTAGGTGGCATCACTCTCAGAATCTCAGGATCAAGTCAAAATTAATGGACTCTCACAGATTTATATAAAATCTATTTTTCTTTTTCCTCTTCAGTGAGATACTTGAACACATTACAGTGTGTAATAGAAAAACCGCAACAGGTAAATCCTTTACTTGCATTTCTTCATACTTCATCTAAAGAAGACATAATAGCAACTTTCTCCTGATATCTTCTAAGAGTATTATCATGAAAAAATAAAACTAAGGAAAATTGTTCCAGTTGCATGTTTTATTTATATAAGAGGGAAGTAGATTTCTACACATACTTGAAAGAGAGAGGTATTTGTCAAATACAGAGGTTGAATCACTCATCTCCCCATCTCTGCCCATCTATCTATTCAACCATATTTCCACCAATTCAAAAAATCATGGGTCAATCTGTCATCTATAAAATTATGCTTCCTTTTACCCATTAATCTGCCCATCCTTCAACCCATTCATCAAACCACAATTCCATCTATCAATATATTTACTATCTATCTACTCACCTATCTGTCTATTCACCCATCTATCCATTTAGATCTATTTTTAGCTTACATCCACCTGTTTAACCATGTACTTGGCAATATATTTCTTGGTTTATCTATTAAGCTATTTGAAAATATTTTTGGCACCCAATATGTACAGGATACTGAGTTGGCCTATATGTGAATACAAAGATAGGTACCACTACAATATAAGGCATAAATGTAGCAAAATGTATGAACAAAGTATTCAGGGGATTTTGAGGATAGAGCAGTCAGTGTTTCATGGGAAGGAAAATGAAAAAGAAGGAAAAGAAATAGCATTTGATTTGGCACTTGAATTATGTGCAAATTTTAACAGATGGAAATTGGGTGGGTAGAGTTGGGGCTTCTGGAGAACATAGGGTTTTTAGAGTTCTTTCAGTTTCCAGAGAGTTTTATATACTTCCATGCTATATGAACCAGAGTTCCCCTTTGGCTTAAACTAGTTTAGCTGCCTTTCCATCACTTGGACAAAGAGCATGTTGACTCTCAACAAAAACTGAAATCCCCCGCCTGATGAGTAATGATATCATGGAGACGTGAGAAGCTTGAATCTAAATTGGAGCTTTGTCGAGGGTAATAATGATGGCTGCATAGGGCTGTTAGATACCATTGTAAAATATTTACATTTAGGAGGTGCTTACTAAATGGCTCTTAAAATTATTGTGCTTGAATTTTCCTGTAAGATCTTCAGTAAGTTGTCATGTAGTCTTTGATTTTTCCCCCAAGGCTTTCCATTTTTTATTTTTAATTTTTGTGGGTACATAGTAGGTATATATACTTATGGGGTACCTGAGATGTTTTGAGGCAGGCATGCAATACATAATAATGACATCATGGAGAATGAGGTATCCATCCTTTCAAGCATTTACCCTTTATGTTGAAACATCCAACTATGCTCATACTTGTTTTAAAAGGTACAATTAAATTATTATTGACTATAGTCACCCTGTTGTGCTATCAAATACTAGGTCTTATTCATTCTAATTATTTTTTGTACCTGTTAACCATCCCCATCTCTTTCCAGTCTTCCACTATCCATTCCAGCCTCTGGTAACCAGTAACCATTCTTCCACTCTCTATCCCCATGAGTTTGATTGTTTTGATTTTTAGATCCCCCAAATAAGTGAGGACATGTGATGTTTGTCTTTCTGTGCCTGGCTTATTTCACTTAACATAATGACCTCCAATTCCATCCATGTTGTTGCAAATGATAGGATCTCGTTCCTTTTATGGCTGAATAGTGTTCCGTTGTGTACATGTACCACATTTTCTATATCCATTCATCTGTTTTTTTGTTGTTGTTGTTTACATTTTATTTTTCCATAAGTTATTGGGGTACAGGTGGCATTTGATTACATGAGTAAGTCTTTAAGCTGAAATTACCTCTGATTTGATCTGTTCTGTGTCCCTAGTCCTAACCATCGTTGTGTCCATTTATTAATTTAGCGACATATTCACTAAACTTTTAATAAATGCTGACATCTCATGTTGGGCATTGTGCTATGCATTTTACAAATGACATCTTTTAATCCCAATCTTATATGATAAGTGTTGTTATCCCTATTCTAAGGATAAATAATCCGAGGCTCAAGGAGATAACCTAAAGTCAAATGATTAGTAAGAGGTTGAGCTGGGATTCATACTTATGTTTATTTAGTAACAAAGATAATGATATCTGCTATTTGCTAGCTGCTTATGTGCCCGACACTGTAAAGTCTTTCCATATCTCATCTTATTGTAGCACCCATAATACCCATGATGGAGATATTATTACCTTAATGTTAGAGATGAAGGAGCTGAGGCTTGGAGAGTTAAAATAACTTGTCTAGGGTCACAGAGCTAGTCAGTGGAAGAACCAGCATATGAACCCAATTCTCTCTGCCTCCAAAGCCCATGTAATTACAATAATGCCTATTTCTCTGTCAAACCCTGCTAGGGGCAGTAGGAAGCATGTATCACCCTTATAATACAAGGTTGAAAGGGGCTAATTGGACAACAAGCGGCAGGTATAGAAAGAGATCAGGTCTTTCTAAGCAGGATCTGGGAAGACTTACAGCGTGGGGTGACAGGTAAGGTGGACCTGGGAGAGGAAGTAGATGAGAATATACCAGAGGAGGTGGCACTGGGCATCTCAGGCTTTGAGACAAAAGACGAAGGGTCATACAAGCAAGAATGCAACATGCATGATAAAGAGTGGCCAAGCCAGTTGCAGCTGGAGGTAGGCATTCAGGATGCAAGAGCCCAGGAAGGCAGTGGTGGCACTATTGGGGCCTTAAGTGCCTCTCTCTTTCTGGAGCCTGTTGCCTTCAGGACTGCCCTTAGACTGCTGAAGTTGCTGGGCACAATAGACAAAATCCTAAATATGGAGATAGGAAATTAACTAATAAAAAAATGACAAGAAAATATTTTTACAAAAGATAATTTAAGAGGAAAGTAAAAGCTACTTCCCTCTTTGTCTTGTAGCTTCCTTTTCTATGAAACATGAAGCCCAGGGCTTCTTGGACTAAGTGAGAGAGTGAAGAAAATGTAGGTATTAAAATTAACAGCCAGAGATGGCGTTAGCAAAATGAGAAATGGTGTGGTTGGAATTAAGTGATAGAATTAGCATTGCCACTGGATTCAGACTGCCTAGAGTTTTTTGAGGTCCAGTTCTTCTGTTTCCTGGCTGTGTGACATCAGGCAGATATGCATTCTGAGCCTCGGTTTCTTCATCTTCCAAATGGGGACGATGATATCTACCTCAGGGGAATGCTGTGATGACGATAGACGTGTCCAGCACACAGTAACTATTCAGTAGATATTATCTTTGTTCCTTCAGCACCAGGGGAAATAAGAAAAAGCAAAGAAAGGGAAGTGCTGGTATAAAGGGAAGGAAGGAAACCAAGGGCATCAGTGTGGATGGGGAAGGCAGAAAATGCTCTCCTGGGGAATCACAACCTTTGTATTATCAAGTGCTTTTTTTGAATTCAAGCCATGCTATTTCTTGCAGCTCTGACTATGTTTCAAGTTGGAATATCAAGCATCTCTGAGCCTTCACTACAGCAATTAAGGGCTCATAAAGCTATTCTTAGGAGTACAAAATAAACTGAGATATATTTGAGGTTGCCAGAAGGTTGCCATGTGGAGAACTGAGTGCTAACCACTGGAAAGGTGCACATTAAAGACAGCAGGTGTGCAGAATGCTGTGGCCATAACTCTCTCCAGCTGAGGGCAGAGGCCACAAAAAGGACCCTGCTGAGGGGAGGCTGCCAAGGAGCTCCACACTCTGCCAAGAGGGGCCTGAGTTCTGGCGCCATCAGCAACTGTCTTGTCTCTGTGACTCACATCTTCTCACATAAAATGAGTAGTTGAATGAGTTGATTTTGAATGTTCATTTCTGTTCTAATGTTGTGTGATCCAATATGAATTCAACTAAAGCCTGCAGATTCTTCCACTGCCCCCATGGTGGCCATCTGTTGAGGTGGGAGGGAAACATGCTGGCCCTCCCCGTCTCCTACCCTAAAGAAGACACTGTGCTGGACTAGCTCTGCTTCCAATTTCCACTAAGGCTATTATTCTTCCCACTCGCCATCCACTCCTGTAGCATTATGTCTGCCAGGATGCTCTGTAAGTGTTCCTTGGAAAAAAAAAAAAAGGATGGAAGGAGAGAAGAAAGAAGACAACGAGGAAAGGAGGGAGAGAAAAAAGAAATGAAAGAGAGAAGGAGGGAAGATAATGCATGGTGCTTTTCTTTAATGTGTGAATACCCCTTCTCCCATGTCCCTGTGGCTGGAAGTGCAGGATTCTAAGTTAGCAGAGCCATGTGACACAAGGAAGCTGGATTTCCAGGTAAATGCTCAATGCAGAGCTGACCACCTGAGCCATTTGACGTTTCCAGGACCGTGAAGGAGAGAGAAATAAACTTCTGTGGTGTTGAACCACTGAGATTTATTTTTGGGTTGTTTCAGCAACTAGTATTAAATATCCTGATTAATTAAGGCATTGGGCTGGGCACCATGGCTCACACATGTAATCCTAGCACTTCAGGAAGCTGAGGTTGGTGGATCACTTGAGGTCAGCAGTTTGAGACCAGCCTGGTCAACATGGTGAAATCCTGTCTCTACTATAAATACAAAAATTAACTGGGCATGTTGATGGGCACCTGTAATCCCAGCTACTCAGGAGGCTGAGGCAGGAGAATTGCTTGAACCCAGAAGGTGGAGGTTGCAGTGAGCCAATGTTGTACCACTGCACTCCAGCCTGGGCAACAGAGCGAGACCCCATCTCAAAAAAAAAAAAATTAAAGCACCTACAACATGCCAGTTTACGCCTGGCATATTTTGAAGAGTCAGCAAACTTCAGAGGTTGTTTATATACTGCCAGTAATGAGCTGTAAAATATCCATTTTCTTTCCCTCTCTTTTCTTCCTCTCCCACCTCCTCTTCCTCCTTATCCTCCTTATTTCTGCATCTCTGAGAGTCTAGATCTGGCTATGATTCTCTTAAGTCAATAGTCCTGACAGCTGAAGTTACTGAGAATATTTTCCCTCTATGGTGTGATTATACCTAGTGGTCGTTTGGTTATAATGATATGCTGTCTCCCTGTTAATTTTCATGGTGGACGCCTTGCAAAATAGTATCACATCACAATTTGTAAATACATTGCTGGGCATATTCTAAGTATTTGACAACTCCTGCATAGCTGAGAGATATAATATTTTTCATTCTGGCCAACCCTGTCTGGGACCTTAAATTTGTAGGGGGTTTTATAGCTCATATATTTCTAAACTCATGCCTCCCAACACCCTGGTGAGGCAGGCCTAGCAAATACTGACGGATACACCAGTCAAATGACAGAAGTCTGTACAACTTGATGTAGCTTTTCTCCAGGAAGCCCCCTTTGCTCTAATCTTCACCAAAGTCTTCTAAAGTCATAAATGCTTGGTGTATAGATTCTTTGTGGTAGAACCTCAAGAATGGTGACTGTTCTACTTGCTGTTGATGGGTGGATAGATAAGAAAATCAGGGGCCAAGGGGCACAACAGACAAGAAGAACGTAACTCTTAACCTGCCTATACCACCTTCAATACTGGCAGGAACTGGGGACTCCCATGGGTGATGGGATTAGAAGTCATCAAGGCAAAATTAACTTAGATCTCAACAGCTATGGAGGGGCCTCACTGAGGCCTGTATTTCATAAAGAATTTGTTCTTAATTAAACAACAAAAATAATAAACAGTGTTGAAAAATTCACTTTTCTGAAACATTAGATTAGTTTTAATGTAATGTCTATGATAATATAGCTTTCACTCCTTTTCAGTCTAACATGCTTTCTCAAAGTGGGTGAGAGACAGGTGAGAGGCTGTAGTCTGTAAAATTTCACAGAATGCCCAGCCTGTTTTATCTATGCTGCCCCCAAGAGAGGATGCTGGATTTGGGAGTCTTTATACCAGCAGTGTCCGATAGAAATATAATGTGAGCTATACATGTAAATTTTCTAGTAGTCACAATAAAATACTGATATGGTTTGGCTGTGTCCCCACCCAAATCTCATCTTGAATTGTAGTTCCCATCATCCCCACGTGTCAAGGGAGGGACCCAGTGGCAAGTAATTGAAACATGGGGGCGGTTACCCCCATGTTGTTCTTGTGAGAGTGAGTGAGTTCTCATGAGATCTGATGGTTTTATAAGGGGCTTTTCCCCCTTTGCTCGGCACTTCTTCCTGTCACCCTGTGAAAAAGATGCCTTGCTTCCCCTTCACCTTCCACCATGATTGTAAGTTTCCTGAGGCCTCATCAGTCATATTGAACTGTGAGTCAATTAAACCTCTTTTCTTTATGAATTACCCAGTCTCAGGCAGGTCTTCATAGCGGTATGAAAATGGACTAATACAAATACAAACAGGTGAAGTTAATTTTAATAATAATGTTATTTAACCAGATATATTCAAAATATCACTTCAACATGGAATCAATATAAAATATTAATGAAATATCTTGTATTCTTTTATCACATTAAGCCCTCAAAATCAGGTTTATGTTTCAATTCAGCTACATTTCAGGTGCTCATTAGCTACATGTGGCTGGTGTCTGCTGAACTGAGATCATAGCTCTGAGAGCTGCCTCTGTAAGAAGCAGCCAGGATGAGGTGGTATGAAGCTTTGCATTGGGCTCTATAGTGTCCCTGGGTAGTGAGTCTAATCTCTGACCTCTCCTACTTTTCCCTCATGAGGGCATTTTCCTTGTCCACAGAAATGGGTCAGATATCATCCAATGCCTTCCTGACCAGGCTTCACAGGAGACCTGCTGGTTGGAGGAGAAGTTTGGAAGATACCAGATGTGTACTCCACCTGTCATCTGCCAAACCTGCAGGTAGCCTGAGGGCATTTTTTCAGCACTGCTTCTCTCATCTGCACACTCACCTCTGTACATGATCACTCATAGTCTCTGAGACGCTTCCGCTCCCTCTTCCTCCTTCCTCCACTCATTCCTACTTTGAGCGGATGCAAGAGAAAGGAAGGCACTTGTTATTTCAAATGGGGCTTGACGCAGGCTCACAAAGAGCATAAAACCAAACCATTTTCACAGGCAATCAGACCCAGGCAGTTAAAACAAACTGAGAACTCCATTACAGCCCATTACTGTCTGATCCAGGGCTCCCCCGTCTACACATCCCTTGGCTCCTAGAAAAAGGAGTGGGAAAGGGCAAAGGGAACCCTTTCTGTAGCCAGCTAATAGGCTGAGATCACGGAAAAGGCCTTCACTTCTCCCATCAATCCAAGTGGGAAAGGCAAGTGAACAATTCTCCTGTGATTTAAATAGATGAAAAGTAAATGATAGTGTTGACAAAGCCCTAAGCAAAGATCCTTTTGGCATTTGATTAGTAGCATGGACCAAAAATGTAGTGTGTGTGTGAGTGTTTATGTGCGTGCACATGTGTGCATTTGCAGACATGTGTGGTCTCTTCCTCATAACGACATAATATATACATATGTCACATTTAATGGTACCGGCAGTCAGGATGAAATAAGGTTCCAATTTCACATGGGCATTCTGAATATGTCAAATTGGAGCCTCTTCTGCAAAATGAGAATAATAATGCCATCAACCACACAGGGATGTTATAAAGACCAAACATAGTAAGATTTGCATAGTTACTTTCTGATTATCTGTCTTTGTTTGTATCTGTCTATCTATCTATCTATCTATCTATCTATCTATCAATGGAGGAGCGTGGTAAGAACCATACAGGCCTGGTTAATTGAATCACACAAAGACTCCCCCAGGTCCATTTGGAGACATGAGCATGTTCTAAACCATTGTTCCATGTTCCAAATGCATAGAAATTACAGATGAAATCTTTTACATAATAATAAGAACATGGTTCTCTTCAAAGCATTAAAAAAAGAGACCATGGGGGAATCTAGAGTGTTAATCCTGAAACTGAAGTACCATGGTCTGTGAGCATCAGAACCTGCTATGGGTAGTTGGGGCTGGGGACCTGTTTCCCAGGTGGGGATGAGGACCACGTGCATCCCATGCATGGAAAGAGCTGTACCTTTGTTGCCTATTTGAAGCCAGGCCCTGGACAGCCCATGAATTGATACCTTAATAGCTTTGCCTTCCCACTTTACACCATGACCAGGAAGATGCTAGCAGGATGTACCTTGTGGAGACTGGGTCCCTAGTGAGCCTGGCAGGTGGATGCAGGATTATACCATGTGTGGGAGGCAGGCATCCTCTTACAAGGCCAAGTTTATATGCATTCCAGCGTGGATATTTTCAATCTATTAAACTTCTCTGTTTAAAGAAAACTATCATATCTTCTCCATCTCTATGTCATTCCCATGAGCTTTAACAGTGAATTCATAATTACAATAATAGTTTTTCATTAATTTTTCATTGGTGATTTATCATGACCACATAGTATATGCTGGGCAAACACAGTGTAAAGAGACCTAATCCTTCTGGCCAATAATAACAATAGCACAACAAAGCATTTAAAGTTCACAGCCTACCTGAGTCTCACACCAGCCCTGTGAGAAAAGGCTAATCCTCTGATAGTAAAGAAATGAAGAAACTGAAGCTATGCAAGATAAATTAGCTTCCTCCAAATTATGCAGCAAGCAAGTTGTGGGCAGAGGCTAGAACTCGAATCTTCTGATGTCTTGTAAAAGCCCAGAAGCCAACCCCTGAAAAATACAACTGGAGTGTGTAAAAACTACAGGGTTTCCTAGAGATGGGACCCCTGTTGGCATAAGGAAGCAAAAATTCTGAAGAATAAGCCTAAGAATGTAATATAGGAAGAATATGGGTAAGGGATGAGATACTACTTCACACCCACTAGGATTGCTACAATTAAAGAAAAATTAGCCAATGTTGGCAAGAATGTGAAGAAATTAGAACCCTTGTGCATTGCTGGTATAAACATCAAATGTTATAACCACTGTGGAAAATAGTTTGGTGGTTCCTCAAAAAGTTATAGTATTACTGTATGACCCAGTAATTCCACTCCTACATATATACCCCAAGTAATTGAAAACAGGGACTTAAACAAATACATGTGCATGCACGGTTAGAGTAGAATATTTTACAATAGCCAAAAGGTAGAAATAATCCAAACATCCATCAATGTATAAATAAATTGTGGTATATCCATACAATGGAATATTATTCAGCCATGAAAAGGAATGAGGTACTGATACATGCTACAATGTGTATGTATGAACCTCAAAAATATTATGCTAAGTGAAAGAACACAGAAGTGTCACATGTCATATGACTGATATGGTTTGGATATTTGTCCCCTACAAATCCCGTGTTGAAATGTGATCCCCAATGTTTGAAGTAGGGTCTAGTGGGAGGTGTTTCGGTCATGGGGGCACATCCCTCATGAATGGCTTGGTGCCCTCCCCATGGCAATTAGTGAGTTCTCATTTTATTAGTTCCCATGGCAGTTGGTTGTTATTATAGTCAATACAAAGGGCCTGGAGTCCAGGCAGGGTGGCTTATGCCTGTATCCCCAGCACTTTGGGAGGCTAAGACTGGAGGATCACTTGCATCCAGGAGTTTGAGACCAGCCTGGGCAACATAGACCTCATCTCTACAAAAAAATCAGAAAAAAATTAGCTGGGCATGGTAGTACACATCAGCTACTGAGGAGGCTGAGATGGGAGGATTGCTTGAACCCGGAAGGTTGAGGTTGCAGTGAGCCATGATTGCACCACTGCACTCCAGCCTGGGCTACAGAGTGAGACCCAGTCTCAAAATAAAAAAATAAAAAAGGAAAGGGCCTGGCATCTCATCTTCTCTCTCCTGTTCCCACTCTAGCCATGTGACACGCAGGCTCCCTCTTCACCTTCTGCCATGAGTGAAATCTTCCTGAGGTCTCACCAGAAGCAGATGCTGGCACCACGCTTCTTGCACAGTCTGCAGAAGTGTGAACTAAATAAGCTCATTTTCTTTATAAATTACCCAGCCTGAGGTATTCCTTTCTAGCAACACAAAACTGACTAATACAGGCTATATTTTTATGAGCTATCCAATGTAGAAAGATCCACAGAGACAGAAAGCAAACTGGTGGTTGTCAGAGGATTTGGGGAGGGGCAATGGGGGTGACTGCTTAAGGAATATCAGGTTTCCTTTAGGGAAATTAAAATGTTTTGGAACTAGATAGAGGTTGAGGTTATAGAACATCGTGAATTATACTAAATGCCGCTGAAGTCTTCACTTTAAAATGGTTAATTTTTTGTTATTTGAATTTTGCCTCAATAGAAAGAAAAGAAACAATAATAAAACCGCAGCCACTCTGGCCCCAAAGCTCACAGTCATCTTATTTGGCCACATATATGGTGTCTCTCTCAGTTGGTTCTGATTGTGGAACCAGCACCAAAATTGGGCTATCTATGCCAGAAAGAATGGGAGTTAAGTGCAGATGACCTAAAGAGTAACCACTATACGACAAAATGACAAAATTCTTTAAAATTATTTTATGTTATCTTTCTTGTCAACAAAGACATTTAGCCAGCTCCCAAAGCCTTCCTAACACATAGTTTCTAAAATGTAACCCTAGGAAAAATTATTTCTTTCCAGAGTGATTGGCACAGGTTGAGGGGCTGGGAGTTACTTAGGAAGGAGAGGCAGGATGTTAGAAATAAAGACAGTGTAAATGAGGAAGGGATGGGTCCAAAGACATGAGGGAGAGAAACAGAAACAACTGTGTATGTAGCCACACTCCCTGATGGAAAGCAAACTTCTCTCAGATCAAGGAGCATGTCTTATTTATCACGAGAAGAACCTATTATAGAATCTAATTTATAGTAGGCACTCAGTAAATATTTGCTTAATAAATAAACTATAAAGGAAAATACATTTGGGTTTCACCCTGTTGGCCTAACTCGTGAATCATCACACTAAGGAAAGGGCAATGCTAATAACTAATTGAAGTCTTTTGTTCAATCAATTCACTTATTCATCCACCCACCCGTCGACCCATCCATCCATCCATTCTGTCCAACCATCCGTCCATGTATCCATTCATTCATCTTCTTTCCTTTCAAAATTCAACAAGTTTGTATTGATTGCTCACCCTCTGCTTCTGCTATTTTAGAATCTGTGGCTACAGATGTGAATAAGATGGTCTCTGCCCTGCAGGGGAATTAGTAGCAAAGCAAGAAGGAGCTGGAGAGGTAAGCAGAGGCTGGGCAGTGTGGGTCTTGGAGAAGAACAGGGGAGGTCAGGCAAGTGGAGAAGTCCCCTGGCCAACCACAAAAGTAGTCTTGTTATGCTAGGTCACATGGGGGAAAACCAGGGAAGCCTCGTTCCTCAATAAGCCCGAGGGACAAGGACAGAGTTAGAAAGGGGAGATAAAAACAGGAAGATCAAAATCCAAAGAATTTCAGGTATGAAGTAGGGAGTAGATATTAAAGTGGGGGGTGGGGGAGGATTCAAATTAACAGCTATAGTGGAATTGTGGTGCCCACCCTTATCATTATTGGGTGCTGGTTATATGGATGAGAGGGTGTATCTGCCTATGTTAAAGGCAAAACTTAGGGTCACCATTCGCTGTGATGACACAACGCGAGTGCCTCTTGCCTTCAGCTGCCCATGGTTGTAAGAACGGTTCCCCAAAGATGTCCACACCCTCATCCTTAGAACCTGTGAATATGTTACAGTACATGACAAAAGGGACTTTTGCAATTGCAATTAAGTTTATGGGACTTACGATAGGATATTATCCTGAATTATGAGTGGGTCTCATCACATGAGCTCTTAAAAGCAGAGAAAGGGTTGGGGTAAGAAATATGAGACAAGAAGAGAATTCAGAAAGCTTTGAAGCACAAGAGGGACTCACCTGCTTTTGCTGGGGGAGGAACAATTGGAAAGCATGAGGAGAAATGTGGGTGCCTTCTAGGTGAAAAGACTGCCCCTCAGACAATAGCCCGCTAGGATACAGAGACGTCAATTTGATAACCACAAGGAACTGACTTCAGCCAGTCACCTGATTGAGCTTGGAAGTGGATTCATTCCCCGGAGGTTCCAGGAAAGAACAAAGCCTTTCTGACACCTTTGTTTCAGCATCGTGAGACTCCAAGCAGAAACCCCAGCTGAGTTGCACTTACCGGACTTGGCCTACAGAACTGTGAGATAAGTGGGTGTGGTCTCAAGCTGGTAAATTTGTAGTAATTTGTTATGGGAGCAATAGAAAATGAATATACGTCCTGTAACAAGAATTTGTCTCATATCAGGTGAAACGGGGTTCCTCCAAAGCAGAGATTATTTTTTATTGTCCTACACGCCCTGGAGTTAGACCACCTGGGTTCAAATCCTGTCTCTGACATGCACTGCTGGGTGATATTAGGTCAATTTTTTAATATTTCTGAGTGTGCTTAGCAATAAGACTTCTGCATCTATCTTATAGGACTGTTTTAAGGAGTGAATGAGTTAACGTTTTAACTTGGAACTGTGCCTGGAACAGAAGAAATTCAGAAAGTCTTTTATTTCTTTGTGATGATATACCTGGAACACAGTAGGAGCAAGCATTTCATCAATGGCAGATTTTCTTCTTGCAGTGAACACAGTGGTTTGACAACTATCTCCCCTCTTTGGGGCCAACGTACTCATTCTTCCTGATGTTGGAAGAGTTGGCTGAGGGCAGCTGCCTCACCCAGGGTTGTAGCTCCCTGTCTTTGCTTGGGAACTGAGCTTGGCTTCCTGGCCTCAATTCAACCTGGCTCTGAAGGGCTATCCCAAGGTCTCTGTTGCGATATCAGGCAGTTCAACTTCTCAGAGGTGTTGCTCCTGAGATCATTCTCCAAGAAATCTTCTGCATATGCATATCTGTCCCAGAGTTTGTTTCCCAGCGTAACGGATGCAATACACTTCTTCTTCTCTTGCTGTTTTCTTGCTTCTCTTCTTCTTGCCGCTATGATTTGCAGACTATGCACTATGTGCCACTACACTGTTCTGTTTTATAAAGCACTTCTAATCCTACAGCTATAAGTCAAGGCAGATATTGTTTGCTCTGTCTTAAAATGAGAAGGTTGAGACATTAAGTAGTGAGTTACTTGCCCAAGATCAAAGAGCTGGCAACAGGCAATGCCAGGATTAGAATGTGGGGATGTAGGAGAATTCAAAACCAGTGGCTTGCTGTTTATCACATTGAATTGACCAGGTTGCCCTTGGATCAGACCTTTGGGACGTGAACCCCCTCTTTGCCTGGGCTTGAGTGAGTGTTCCCCTTGGATATAGGGCTCTGAGCTACTTTTGCTGCTTTCCCAAGCAGCATCTGCTTGACTTCTGGGGAGGCCTCAGAAAACTTATTAATTATGGCAGAAGGGAAAAGAGGGAAGCAGGCACATCTTATATGACCAGAGCAGAAGGAAGAGAGAGAAGCGGGAAGTACTACACACTTTTAAACAACGAGATCTCGCGAGAACTCTACCAGGAGAACAGAACAAGGGGGATGGTGCTAACCAATTTGAAACCACCCCCATGATCCAATAACCTCCCACCAGGCCCCACCTCCAGCATTAGAGATTACATTTCAACATGATAATTGGGTGGGGACACAGATTCAAACGATATCAGAGGGTAAAGCTTCTGTATAACCAGGTGGCATTATCTCTAGGAAATGATATTCTTCTAGGATCAAAACTCTTCTCAGGACCAAGGATCCCTGCCACGTATATCCTGAGAGCTACCCTTTGGTCAGACAGGTCTGAAAATAGCCAGTGATCAGGTTCATCCTTGTCGCTGGGTCTAGGCTCCTCCAAACTGAGTCTGGACAATACACACAGTCCATAAATTTATACCCACATAATCTTTGGGCAGGAGAGTTATAACCTTGAAGACATTATCCTGCTATGTCATGCAAGCTAATGTTGGAGAAAGCTTTATGTTCAAGCATGTACATCGCAGCGTTATTTATAGAAGCAAGAGAACGAGGAAACCATCTAAATATGCAGCAAGTAGAGTACTGCTAAATAAATGTGAGCAGATAGTATTCTGTCATAAAAAATCATATTTCCAAGTAATATTTAATGGCCCGGAAAATAGCTCAAAATATATTATTAAGTGAAAAGATTAGAATGGTAAACTAAACACTTTTCATTGAATTCTGTCACTAATTTTTAATGTACCAATAGGAAAAAAAAAACTGAAGAAATACACCATAATGTTCACAGCCATTATTTTAAAGAATGTATTGTCTTAATTTTTAATATATTAATATATTTTTCAATTTTGTGCAAATTGTGGGAACCACTTCTATTATCAAGAAAAACAGCCATTTAAAAAGATCCTGTTAAAATCTACATTTTAAAAGGACTTATTTTAGCTTGGCAATAGAATACATTTTGGGTCTTATACTCTAACTCAGTAGAATCCAGGGGGTTTGAGCATTTCTTTTTCAGGTTTTTACAATTTAAAATCTGCTCAGTGTGTCTGGCGTGTTTTGTGCTTGGTTTCAGTCAGTAGTTCATGGCATTAGATGGCTACATATCTAAAGCATCCAGATTGCTTCTGATTACTGAGCATGCTGTTAGGATATTTTATGTGCCATTCTTTACCAGCTTTTTTTTTTTTTAAGAAGATGGGAGCAGTGCAATCATTCAAAAAAAAATGAACTTCATAAATACATAGCTCATGCCAGGTACTGGTTTAGATATTGATGATACAGAAATGAATATGTTTCTTTTTTTAAAGAACTAATAAATTATATTATATATTGTCATTACATTACGTATTAGAATTATGGGTACTCAGAGTGGAAGAACTAGCTGTAGGGTTTCCAATAAATACTGCGTGGAGAAAGGGATTTCTGAACCAGGTTTTGAAGGGTAAATAGCAGTTACTGAGGCTGAGAAAAATTGAGAGATGGTCATTCTAGGAAAAGGTAGTACTCTAGACAGAAGGGCAAGGTTGTGGAGATACAGGATGTCTCAGGAAAATTTGGGAAACTGATGAAATATATGCAGGGAGAGTAAGGTGGGCCAGATTAGGAGGACTGGAATGTTGTGTTAAGGAATTCATGATTTGGTTTTTGAATAAAATGGGAAGTGTTGGATAATTTCAGTGGCAGTACAGACAATAAACTGGTTAGATGATTCAGGGATCCAGCATAAATACATTTACTTTCTAACAGGCTGATGAACTGAATTGACAGAAACACCCTAATGGGCCACAGTACAATTATTTATTAGCATATATCCCATGTACTCAGCCATGGTTTAGACACTGTGAATAATATATACAAGTTAAAAATATTCCTACTAAGTACATTTATAGCTTTTCAAATACAGGACACAGAATAGGAATGAACATATTAAAAAACGAATATTATTGTGAGACAAGACCAAAATATGTGTCTTAACTATGAAATACTGAAAGAACTGAGAGTTCTAAGATCCTTCCACAATGTCAGTACAATTTATAGTATAACTGTATGGGTGGATTCCTGTTTCCAGTAGTGGTAGACTAGGCCATATAGACTGCCCAGCAACCTTGGAGGCTTTATGTTTTGGGTTTTCAGAGTGGTAGCAAGTTCTTTCATCAATCTGTGTGGAGTTGGGGTAACTTGGCATAAAGGAATGTCTCTGAGAAGCTGGACCTGCTTTACCTTGAAAGGAGGAAAAAACAAGTGACTTTGTAGGGTGTGTGTATGTGTGTGTGTGTACGTGCATGAATAATGCAATAATTAAAAGAGTAAATGTTGCATCCGGACTGCCTAAGCTCAAGTTCAAGTTTTGGCACATACCAGTTCTGTAAGCTTGCAAATTTCATCTCTCTCTGTGCCCCAGTTTCTTTATAAAGTAGGGATGCTAACATTGGCCTCATAGGATTGCTATGAGGATTTACTCTAAAGCACTTAGAATGGTGCTGGGCTCATGTGAAATAATTGGCAAGTATTAGTAATTACTGATACTAAGGTTCATGATCATTTGCTGATGAGCCAGGGAGTCAGAAAGGAAAAGCCTTAACAAGGATATGTGGCCATGAGGAAAATACTGGGAAGAAAAGGGTCAGGGGGCAGGGGCCCTGGGTCTGAGCATCATTGCTCCCTCCTCCTCCTTTCCTCACTTCCTTCCTCCCTCTTTACTTTCCTTTCTTCCTCTGTTCCTCCCTTTCCCCTTCCCTTCCTTCCTTCCGTCCTTCCTCTCTCCCCCCTTCCTTCCTCCTTCCCTTCCCTTGCTCCCTCCCTTCCACAATTATTTGCTGAGTGACACCATGTGCCAGATACTCATCTAGCTATTATGAAATTGCAGCAAACAAAACAGTTACAGAACTGCCCTCAGAGTCCTTATCTTCTAGTGAAGGAGACAGACAAACACATCAATTCAATGCCAGGTGGCATTGCCTGCTATGAAGAAACGTTAGATGGACTGGATGTGAGATTTGTTTCTTGAGAATGATCCCAATCTTGGCATGGAGTAAAGAAAGTGCTAGGCCAGTGGAGAGACAGGTCTGCTGTGGGGGACAACATGGGAGTGTCCGGGAGCTGTCCTGGATTGGAGAGCCAGCCCTGCACTGCAGCCCAAGGATGCCTCCCCAGTGCAATCTCATCATCCACAGCAGCGTCACCCTTTGCTTTCAGATCTTGTACATCAGGCATCTTGGAATCTCAGGATGGGGGATATCACCATGAGTTTTGAGACTTTGCCGACCATCTCCCAAGAACGAGTAATCAACATCCTGCATGCTTGGAGTCTTCACACCCCAGAGGACCAACTGCCATGTGCAGATGCCTCCCAGCAACACCCAGGGCATTTATGAGCTAATGTAGAAGACCACCAGATACCAAGTGGAATGGGGCAGAATGGACCATTATTTATTTTGAGAGTAAAATCCAGGCATGTGAGAACACTCTCTATCCCCTAGCACACTGGGAACAGAGAGTGTGATGATTAATTTTTTGTGTCAGCTTGGCTAGGTCACAGTACTCAGATACCTGGTAAACATGCTGTGAAGGTATTTTGTAGATGAGATTAATGTTTAAGTCCGCAGACTTTGAACAAAGAAGATTGCCTCCACAATGTGGGTGGGCTTCATCCAACCCATTGGATGAGCTTTAAGAGAAAAAAGACCTCCTTCAGGAGGAGAGGATTCTTCCTGTGTCTGACTTTAAACTGGAACTGCAGCATCAACTCTTCCCTGGGTCTCCAGGCTGCTGGCAACTAATAAAAAGGAGGACAAACACCTCTGTCCTCTGTTACTTCTGGCTAACTCTCATTCATATCCTTCAGGATTCAGCTCAGGTGTCACCACCAAAGTGATGTTGTCACTGGAGTCTCAACCTGGGTTAGATGCATTTTCACACTCTGTAATAATTGTATCTATTTCTTGGACAGTTAGGATCACCTCATATTCATATTCATATGCCTAATGCCTAGGAGAGATCCTGGCCTCTAGGGAGAAGCTCACTAAACAAGATGACAACATGAATGCAATGACTGCTCAGGGCAGCAGCTTTGTCTCAGTCATCTCAAAATATGCCTAGTACCCTAGTATTGCTAGTCTTTCACTACATTTTAGCTGAACCAGACTAAACTACCCAAGCCATCCCTAAAGGTGGCTGGTTGTACATGAGAAAGGATGTATTATGGGTTGAACTATGTTCACTCAAATTCATATGTTAAAATCCTAACCCCCAGGACCTGTGAATGTAACTTTATTTGAAGATACTGTCTTTACAGAAATAATAACCAAGTGAAAACGAGGTCATCAAGGTGGTTGCTAATGCAGTGTGACAGGTATTCTTATAGAAAGGGGAAAATTGGATACGGAGAGATGCACAGAGGGAAGACAATGTGAAGAGATAGATGCCAGCTGTTTGAGTCAGGGTTCTCCAAAGGGACAGAAATAATAGGATAGATGTATATTTGAAGGGGAGCTTATTAGGAGTATTGACTTACATGATCACAAGGTGAAGTCCCACAGTAGTCCGTCTGCAAGCTGAGGAGCCAGGAAACCAGTCCAAATCCCCAAACCTCAAAAGTAGGGAAGCTGATAGGGCAGCCTTTAGTCTGTGGCTGAAGGCCCAAGAGCCCCTGGCAAGTCACTTGTGTAGGTCCGAGAGTCCAAAAGCTGAAGAACTTGGAGTCTGATGTTCGAGGGCAGGAAGCATCCAACATGGGAGAAAGATGGAGGCCAGAGACTCAGCAAGTCTGCTTTTTCCATGCCTGCTTTTATGCTAGCAGCTGTGATTAGATGGTGCCCACCCAGACTGAGGGTGGATCTGCCTCTCCCACTCCACCAACTCAGATGTTAATCTCCTTTGTCAACACTCTCACAAACACACCTAGGAACAATACCTTGCATCCTTCAATCTAATCAAGTTGACACTCAATATTAACCATCACACCAGCCAACAAGGAGAGAAGCCTGGAACAGCTCTTTCCTTCACACATTCAGAAGGAGCGCACCCTGCTGACACCTTGATTTTGGACTTTTAGTCTCCAGAACTGAGACAATAAACTTGTTTAAACCACTCACTGTGGTATTTCATAACCACAGACCTAGTAACCCAAGACAGGGTATACCCCTACCACCAAATGCTTCTTTTTCAGTTTACCCAGTTATCCAGCCACCCGTGTAGCTCTTTCCAGTTCTTTAATATTTAGGGAAGAAGTGAATCTTTAAGTCACTGAGATATCACAAAATCTTGACTATCTTGTTTCCTGGGCTTCCTTACTTCCTAACACAACTGGAAAGTGAACTTTCTCTGAGCATGCCACCTGGCACATAATAGGCATCCCATAAGCACTGGATGACTGAGTAAATAAAACACGTTGTGTTCATGATTTATTCACTCATTCAGCCAGTGCTTATGGGATGTCTACCATGTGCCTACCTATTCCTCCTAGCACAATAAAACCAACCTTCTGTGCCCTGTTTGACTCTCTTAGATCAGCCTCTGCATTCCACTGTAACTTCAACCCCCTTTGAGGTTGTTATTTATTTCTTAGCAGGTGCTTTGATTCATTAGCGGTTTCCATTAAAGCTATGGTTGAAAAGACACTTTCATTTGAAACCCTTGAGCATGGTGTTTTTGTTGGCTGGCTTTTCCTGCTCTGAAATAATTACTCTTTTTGAGGTGCTGAACTTTCTCTTGTGTGTCTCTTTCCTCTGACAGCCCTTTCTTTGATCCTTTCTGGAAAGACTTGTCCTGGTCCATTTAGTAATGCCAGAAGATCTTAAAGGAAAATAAATCATTGACTATTCACACTGAAAGACTCTAGGAGATGCTTTTGTCCAAACTCTTCATTTCCAGATGAGGTCACAGTTTTCAAAATATGCCATGTGAATGATAGCACAGCAGTCATAAAATAATAATAAAAGCATTTGCCTTATATTTTACCATTGGCGAAGAATTTTCACTTACATGATTTTACTTCATACTGCCTTAAGTAGCGTGAGATAACTTGGAGAATTAAAAAAAAGATTATTGGCTCTGATGTCAGGATTAGAATTCTAATCAGTTAGAATTCTAGCATTGCTACTGCTGTTATGACTTTGGGCAAGTCATGTCACCTTTCTAAGCCTCTGTTTCTCTATCTATAAATGGTGAGGACCCAGGTTTCCCAATAAAGTTGCTGAAAGACAAAAAATATAAAAGATCTTTGGAAACCATAAAGTGTTACAGAAATATATAATATGGTAATTTTTATTTCAGCTTTTTCTTGATTTTTATTGTTATCAGCAGAACAGGGACAGGGTTTTTAAAAAGAATTTTATTTTTAAGTGAGAAATGAGTAAATTGTGCCAACTATACAGGGTGCCAATTGAATTCACAGTGAGAAGCTTAATATATCAGAGATACCACTCACATCACGGCATTCATTAATGTGAACTTGAAATTTGAGATGCGTTTGTGTGTGAATATCTGTCTCCATCACCACTAAGTTGCTTTTTAAAAGAAATGCATTCTTCTATCTCCTTTGTTTTTTGTATTCTTTCTGGTTATAAAAATTTCACTGTTTCATTCATTGAGCGAATATTTATTGACCCATGTGCTAGATACAAGTCAAAACACTGGGTAATGTAGCTTTTAACAAAACAAGTTTTTGTCCTCATGACACTCACATTTTAGATGGAGGAAATAGATGGTAAATGTAAAGTAAATGTATAGTATGTCAGATGATAAGATAAATTATGGAGAAAAATTTAAAGTGGTAGTAGGAGAGGGAGTACTTGAAGGTAAAGGGTAAGACACAGAAACACAGCACAGACCAGAAGAAGGTGACAGAAAAGCCATGGATGTAGCTGAGGGAAAAGCAATTAGGCAAGGGAACAGAAAGTGCAAAAGTTTAGAGTATCATCACATGATCATACTTGGCATGCCTGGGGAACAGTGAGGAGGCTATTGTGACTAAAGTTCATTGGGTGTGAGGACAGGAGTGGGATATGAGATCTGAAAACTAGTGGTGCTGGGTATGAGAGTGGCAGCGTCATGTAGGGCCTTGTAAACAGTTGTATAAGGATGTTGTTCTTTACTCTGAATTAGAAGAGAACCCATTGGAAGATTTTGAGTAAAGAAGTGACATGATCCAATTCATGTTTTTGAAGGATCCCTTCAGCCATGGGGTTGAGAATAAACTATAGCAGGAAGAAGTAGAAATAGTATATGGCATTACTACCTGCAGAAGATGAGGGAGGCTTGTACTAGTGTGGTCACAGTAGAGGTGATGGGAAGTGGTTTGTATCAGTCAGTATAGGCTCTGCCATAGCCTACTAACAAAAGATCCCTGTTATCTCTGTGGCATAGAATAACAAATGTTTATTACTTGCTGAGGGATATGTGCTTCATGGAATGTCTGTGGCTCTAATCCATATTATGCTTAATGCAAGACTCAGGCTGGCAAAGTAGCTTCTGTCTGGAACATTGCCAGCTGCAGAAGAGGCATTGGCCAAAACAAGGAACAGGACTGCTCCTGAGTGCAGCAGAGCAAGGATAAACAGTCTTCCAAGGGAGGAGCATCACAGAGACAGAAGTCATGATAGAGAACAGTTACATCATCTCCCACATGGTCAAATTCAGGTTCTACTTTGAAGGTAGACACAATAGATTTGGTATGGGTTTGGACCTAGGCTGGTGACAAAAAGAAATAAATGAAGAATGACCCCTAGGATTTGGCCTGACCAACTGTAAAGGCAGAGCTGTAATTTTCCAAGATGAAGATGATTATGGGAGGAGCAGGTGTGGACATGCCAAGCTTGAGCTGATCACCAGACATCCAAGTACAAATGGCAAGGACACAGTTGGATAGATGAGTCTGAAGTTCAAAGAAGAGGTTCAAGTTGGTGATACCAATTTGGGAGTCATGTTGAATGCAGAAAGAATCTAAAGTACAGAAAAGCATTCAAAAAAGGGAAACTATGTAAAACTAGATGTGAGCTTTAGAATCTACCTTTATGTTCACTAAGCCATAAAAGACAAGGTATCATTTGGGAATTTCCAAATTGTGACCATAGCTTTGTCTCATAGAGTTAATATATAACAACATCTAAACAGTTGTTTCTGGCGCGAATATAACTCAGCCTAAGCCTCACCCTTAGTCTTCCACTTGGGATCTCTGCCAGTTTAAGATACCAACCTGTGCAGTTTTTCATGACAGTGTATCTCCTATTATTTCATGTAATTATTAACCACAATCTGAGCTCCCTGCCTCCCAAGTCCAAACTCTACCATTCCAAGAATCTCAATTTTTCCCATCACCAAAAGCTACGTCTATGTCCTTAGAAGATTAGTTTTATGGTTTAACCATTAGAATTGTTTGCAATATGCCCGACCCACTCTGAAATAAGCCCCAAACTTCAAGTCATGGACTTTTAGATATGGATGATTTAGAGGCTGTATAGTGTAATGATCAATTTCATGCAAGAAGCTCCTCTGGAGTCTTCTGAACAGTCTTCTGCCTTCTGAGTTCCTTTGTGGTGATGTGCTCAGCCCAAAATCAACAGTTTTCCAACACTTACTCTGCCACCAGTTCTGTGCTAGGCATCCTGGAGGATATAGACATAATAAATAATTTGTCCCTGCTGTAAGAGAAGTTGTGCTATAATAGGCAGCCTGCTATATTTTGGAGCAGCTCTGTTAGAAATCGTTTCTAATGTTGATCCAAAAATTCAGCTCACCGTGGTTTCTGCTCATTGGCCTCTCCATAGTCTAATACCTTAGTAAGTACCAGAGGGAGAAGATGCAAGTGGGAAGGGGAGTTTCCTCTCCTCTGCCCCTGCTAGTTTCTCTACAAGGCAAGGGAGATACCAGTAAAATGGTAGCCAGTGACAGTCAAGATCATAAATCCTACCACATATGACAGTGCACAGTCACCATGCATTGAAACATTGCATAAATGCACCTGGGCCTTCCTTCCATATTTCCTCCGTGCATCTGGAGCCCACTCAGTATTCAGCTATTGTGATTTTCTCTCCTTTTTTTCTCGTATCCATATCTGACAAGCATGTCATTTTGTTATCATGATCATTGTAACAGGCCAAGGAGCTTGCGATCTTAGAATCCAGTGAGACTTGAGGGAAGATAGAAACCTTAATGGATGTATAGGTGAGATTTTGCTGCAACCCCTCTATATATTTTCCTTTGGGGTAAAACACACTGGCCCAATGAATAATAAAATCTTGGTTTGTTTCTTATTTTCATTGATCTTTGTAGGTATAATTTTCTCAAGGATTTCACAGAGAAGGGGTCACTGGGATGAGGCAAGGTTTGGGTATTTTTGGCTTTGTTGGCTATAATGCCAGCAGAACTTTGTCCTACTATTTAAGAGAAGATATTTCTTATCTTACTTGACACAGTCAGTCATCTGTTGCTTGAATGTCATCTTCGGCATCCCCTAAAGACATTCATGCAGCCTGTATTTATACACTTTCAGTGAAAGAGATCACAATACCTTCCAAAGCTGCCCTTTCCATCTTGGGCACACTCCTGATGAGGAAAAATTTCTTTGTATGTCAAGGCAAATCTGATCCCCCTGTCTTCCATCTCACGGCCCCATTTCTATCCCCCGGGATGAAAAGGGAATAGATTTAACAAGCTGATTCCTTTTTTATGTAAAAGCTCTTCAACTTGACTACAGTCCCCTCTAGTTATGTCAAGGTCTACTAACCCGCAGAAAGAGATATTCCCAAGTGTTGGTTATTTCTCTGTAATTGACTTTTCTGCTCAGTGTTCAGGTCAGACGAGCCTATGTTGATCTATGGATCTGAAATCCCCTCTATGTACACAGTGAAATGGAGTACAACAGCTTGGGTATGGGTATTGGCTATGAATAAAAGTCAGGGCTCCTGGTACATGCCCATTTCATTTGAAATAACTTAGGGCTCTAAAGAAGACCTCACTTTGACACCTAACGATCTTAACGTTCACTAAATGTACATGCAAATGACAACTTTGGTTAGGAGCCAGATAGACAAGTGGTCACTGGTATATGTGATCATCAATGTGTACACACAACGTTTGTACATAACAAGTAAGAAGTCTTTATACTTGCATAAGAGTAAGAGGTAGAGTGGTAAATACACAAGAGCAAGACAGACCCAGTTCCAATCCTGCCTCTATCATTTTCTATATTTTGTGCCCTTAGGCCAGCTACTCTCTCTCTCTCTCTGGACCTAATTTTTCTCCCATATTTGCAAACCAGAGAAATAATATTCTCCTTACAAGGATGTTGTTAGGATAAAACAAGTGAAGGCTATATAGTACCTGATACATAAAAGATGCTCCAAAAAGTAAGTTACATTCTTCAATTTTTTAGTTTACAAGGTGTTTTTAAATATATTATTCAATGACATCTAGAATTCATTTGATCTGATTTTCAGCTTTCAGGCAGGGTCATTGCATGTATAAATACATTATATTCCAGGAAGAAAGAAAAAGAAAAACATAGAGGAGTTTGTGCATCTGCCTACTTGAGAAGTTTTTCATTATACATACTTCTGTCTCTCCATCTGTAAAATGCTTAGGTTGAACTAGGTGATCTCTAAGGTCTTACACTATTTTTATTCTCATCTATTATTCCTGTAACAGTCTAAAACTATTTTTATTCTGTTCTTGAAGGAGAAGTGAGGAGAGAACTAACATTCTTTGAGTACCTCCTCTATTCTAGGGCTTCTGTTAAATATTCTGTCTAGTATCATTTTATGCTCACTACCACTTTATCAGGCAGGCGTTACTATTCCTTTTTCACACATAGATGGAGAAGGTTATAGAGATTAATAGATTGGCCAAACCATTTAGTAAGTAGCAGAGCTTCCTAAGCTCTGTTTGCCTCCAAAGCCCTTATTCAATCCAGGGTACTACTCTGAGAGTTGCCAAATACCACTCTAGGTACCCAAACGTTTCATTACTATTAATCCATATGTTGGTTCCACTTTCTGCAAGCATCTTGTGTTTGCTTCCAAATGAACCATTCCATACTTTGAATTGACCCATCAGTGTTTCAGTAACTATAATTGCTAAGTCTGTCACATTTGAGGTAATACCAGAGTATATGCAGACCCTGGTGAGGATACCCTCTGGATTGAGGGGTGACTCTGAGGTCAAATCTACCTGGGCACCCTAAATAGAAGATCCAAGATGAACTAGCATTTGCACAGGTAACCTCTTGCCACCACTCAGGGACAATGGGCAGTTGTAAACAAATTCCCTGTCATGAAAGATGTTCCAACCAAAGCTGTGAATGTTGCAAACAGGATTCAGAGGTCCAGTGAGTGATTATACTAGATGGCATTTGAAGAGTCTTTGGAACTTCTAATGATGCTGATGTTGAAAATCTTTGTTTCTTGACTCCAAGATTGGCTACATATCAGGTTACAGGGCAAAATAAATGTAGGGTCCCATGTTTCAAAATTATTAATTAAGATGCTAATGGTAGAGCATTAAACCAAGTATAGGGATCTTCTGAGCATAGGGCTCTGTGCAACTGCATAGGTCACATACTGTTATGAACTGAACATTTGTGTTCCCCCGAGATTCATATGTTGAAGGATTAACCTCCAAATGTGATGGCATTTGGAGATAGGGCCTTTGGGAGGTAATGAGGATTAGATGAAGTCACAAAGATGGGGCCCTCATGATGAGATTAGTGGTCTTATAAGAAGAGGAAGAGATCAGTTCATGCGTGCACTCTCTTTCTCTGTCTTTTTCTCTCTCTGCCATGTGAGGACACAATGAGGAAGAGCTACTTGAAAACCAGGAAGAGGGCCCTCACTAGGAACCAATTTTGTATGCACCTTGATCTTGGACATCCAGCCTCTAGAATTGTGAGAAATAAATGCCTGCTCTTTAAGCCACTCAGTCTGTGGAATTTTGTTATAGTAGCTTGAACACAATAAAACACATGCCTATGAATTCATACCTACTTTACTCCATAGTATATTGCCTTGTTATCTATTTTATACTCAGAATACCTGACTTAGATATGTGTTCAATAAATATCAAATAAGCAAAGAAGTGAAACAATACAAATGGGTGTGGTTTGAATCTGAGCTTCCAAACCTACCACCCAGATAACCTTGAGTGTGGTATCCAGTCCCTCAGAGGGACATCGATGAAAGAAATTGAAGAAAACACAAATAAATTTAAAGATATCCCATGTTCATGGATTAGGAGAATTAATATTGTTAAAATGTCCACACTATCCAAAGTGATCTACAGATTCAATGCAATCCTTATCGAAATTCCAATGACGTTTTTCAGAGAAATAGGAAAAATTCCTAAAATTTGTATGGAATCACAAGAGGCCCTGAATAGTAAAAGCAATCTTGAACAAAAAGAACAAAGATGGAGGCATCAAACTGCCTTCAAATGTGCTACAAAGCTATAATAATTGGCTTGGTGCGGTGGCTCATGCCTGTAATCCTAGTACTTTAGGAAGCCAATGCAGGTGGATCACCTGAAGTCAGGGGTTCGAGACCAGCCTGGCCAACATGGTGAAACCCCGTCTCCATTAAAAATACAAAAATTAGCTGGGCGTGGTGGCGCACGCCTGTAATGCCAGCTACTGGGGAGGCTGAGACAGGAAAATTGCTTGAACCCAGGAGGTAGAGATTGCAGTGAGCTGAGATCATGCCACTGCACTCCAGCCTGGGTGACAGAGTGAAACTCCATCTCAAAACAAACAAAGCTATAGTAATCAAGACAGCATGCTACTGGCATAAAAACAGACATATAGGCCAATGGAACACAATAGAGAGCTCATAAATAAATCCATGCATTTATTGTCAATTGGTTTTCAACAAGGGTGCCAAGAACACACTATGGGGGAAGGACAGTATCTTTAATAAATGGTACTAGAGTAACTAGATACCTACAAGCAGAAGAGTAAAATTGGACCATATCTCACACCATATTAAAAAATCAATTCAAAGGAGATTAAAGACTTAATATAATACCTAAAAGTATAAAACTACTAGGAGAAAACAGAGGAAAAGCTCCATGACATTGGCCTGAGCAATGAATTTTTGGATATGACCCCAGAAGCACAGGCAACAAAAGCAAAAATAGACAACTGAAATTACATCGAACTAAAAAGCCTTGGCGTAACAAAGAAAACAAGCAACAGAATGAAGTTACAACCTACGTAATGGGAATAAATATTTGTAAGCATACATCTGATAAGGAATCAGTCTCTTAATTATCTAAGGAACACAACTCAACAGCAATATAAATAACAGATTAAAAAATAGGCAAAGGATCTGAATACACATATCCCAAAACAATACATACAGATGGCCCACAAGTAGATGAAAAAAATTCTCAACATCACAAATCATTATGGAAATGCGAATTTAAATCCCACTGAATATCACTTCACACCTGTTACAATGACTGTCATCAAAAAGACAAAAAATAAGTAGTGTTGGAGAGGACGTAGTAAAAAGGGAACCCTTGTATGCTGTTGGTAAGGGTGTAAAATAGTAAACTCATTGTGGAAAACAGTATGTAGGTTCTTGAAAAAAATTAAAACTACCATATGATCCAGCAATCCCACTGCTGGTTATATATTCCAAAGGAAATAAAATCAGTATGTAGAAGAGATGTCTACACTCCCATGTTTCTTACAGTATTATTTACAATAGCGAAGATATGGAATTAACCTAAGTGTCTATTAATGGATGAGTAGATAAAGAAAATGTGGTGTATTTACATAATGGACTACGACTCAGTATTGATGAAGAAGGAAATTGTGTCATTTGCAATAACACAGATTAACCTGAATGATATTTATTCAGTGAAATAAGCCAGACACAGAAAGACTAATAAGATTTCACTTATATGTGGAATCTTAAAAAGTTGAACTCATAAAAGTAGAAAGTAGAATGGTGGTTGCCAGGGGCTAGCAGGGCAGGAGTGGCTAGGGGAGATGTTGGTTAAAGGATGCAAAATTTCAGTTAGATAAGATGAGTACCTTCAGGAGAATATTGTAAAACATGATTATTATAGTTAATAAAATTGTATTGTATTCTTGAAAAGCACAGAGAGTAGATTTTAAGTGTTCTTACCACAAAAATTAGTTTGTGAGATAATACATTTTAATTAGCTCTACTTAGCCATTCCACAATGTACACATATTTCAAAACATATTATAGACCACAAATATTGTATATATATAATCAATTAAAAATATTGACTTTTTTTTTTTTTTTTGAGCAGAGTCTCGCTCTGTCGCCCAGGCTGGAGTGCAATGGCGTGATCTCGGCTCACTGCAACCTCCGCCTCCAGAGTTCAAGCAATTCTCCTGTCTCAGCCTCCCGAGTAGCTGGGATTACAGGCACCTGCCACCACACCTGGCTAATTTTTGTATTTTTAGTAGAGATGGGGTTTTGCCATGTTGACCAGGCTGGTCTCGAACTCCTGACCTCTGGTGATCTGCCAGCCTCGGCCTCCCAAAGTGCTGGGATTACAGGCGTGAGCCACCATGCCCGGCCAATATTGACTATATTTTTAGTTGAATATATATGTGTGTGTGTGTGTGTGTGTGTGTATATGTGTATATATGTATATATGTATGTGTATATACACACATGTATGTATGTATATACACACATGTATGTATGTATATACACACACGTATATATGTATGTGTTTATACACACACGTATATATGTGTATATACACACGCGTATATATGTGTATATACACACACGTATATATGTATGTATATACACACGTATATATGTATGTGTATATACACACACGTATATATGTATGTGTATATACACATGTATGTATGTGTATATACACATGCATGTATGTGTATATACACATGTATGTATGTGTATACACACATGTATGTATGTGTATGTATGTGTATATACACATGTATGTATATGTATGTGTATATACATGTATGTATGTGTATGTACACATGTATGTATATGTGTGTGTATGTACACATGTATGTGTGTACACATGTATGTATGTGTATATACACATGTATATATGTGTATATACACATGTATATATGTGTGTGTATGTGTATATACACAAGTATATATGTGTATGTGTATATACACGTATATATGTACACATATATACGTGTATATACACATATTCAACTGAGTATATACACCCACACACACACATATATATTAAAAATAAATAAATTTGAAACCAGGAAAAAGGGGTATCTTAAAAACAATGGGTTTGTATTTCTACATGGCAGAAATTTCATGGAGGTATGTAGCTACTGCCCTCCTTAGACTGGATATCCATTCTCTAATCCAAATTACATTGTCTGGCTCCTGCAGGTATTTCAGTCTACAATGCTGTCTAAAATGTCATTCAAAACATATTTATTTAAGAATTCAGTAGTTAAATTCTACCTATGTAGGAATCCATCTATACCGCAAAATCAAAATCAGAACCATTGTTATTGGGAGAAGCATGCATTGCTTAGTGTGCTGAGGTTCATTAGCTTTCTTTTCTCATAAAGTGTTGTCTAGACAACCTAAGTGACAGCCGCGCTATGCTACCATGGTCAGAGGCAGAGCAGGTAAGGGCCTGACTGCCTGGGTTTGTATTCTGGCCTTTACCACTTACTAGCTGTGTATATCCTTGCACAACTTATTTAGCCTTTGTGCCTTGGTTTTCACATCCATAAAATGAGCTTAAAGTAACTTCATAGATTGTTCTCAGCATAGAGTCCTCAGACAAGACTTGGGCAAGTAAGCACTCCATAAATGCTAGCTGTTGTCATTGGCATCATAACCATCACACTCATCTGGGGATGGCATAAGAACAGGTGCCTCCTGCCATGGGAATGGACCACCCTCTGGAGGACCATCCTGATTCTAGGACTCTGTGATCATATGGAAGTTCAGAGTAACAACTCAGGAGCATTTTCTAAAAGTGCTGCTAAGTGAGTTAAAATTTAAGTCATCACACAGCTTTTCCCTGGGAAAAGCTCCAATTTCATTTTTGGTCTCAGATGTCAGAAGCGCAATTGCTGCTGTATAGCCAAGTAGAAAAGGGTTTGAGCATAAGCATAAGAGTGGTATTTCTCAAGCTCCATCCCTTCATTCCCTGAGTCAGAATTTCCAAGAGATGAAATGGTGTATTTTTTTTTTAATAGGAAGGGCCTCACTTTTTACAGAAGGGCTCTAGGTAATGAATAACTTTTTAAAAAAATTTTGTTCTAGGGTCAGTGAAAGTACCAAGACATATCAGACATTCCCCATTGCTTTAGCATTCTGAATCATTCTTTCCTAGAGGAATTGAAAAATTGCCTGCCAGGCCTATGCTTACCTTCAGGATCACCCTGAAAGCACATAAGCAGGACAGAGTGGAGTTAAAGACAGAGTGCCAGGGCCTGCAGGTCTGGGCTTTAAGGTTTCTTTCCTCACTGTGTGGCTTTGGCAAGTTCACTTGGACCTGCTGAACCTCAGTGTCTTATTCTGTCAAGTGAAGGAAGGCATTAGCCCACATTCTTAAAGTGTGATCCCAGAACATCAGCATCAGCATCACCCGGGAGCTTGGGAGAAATGCAATCCTCTATATCCACCCCAGACCTTCTGCATTAGACACTTCGGTAGTGGAGCCAACAGTTTGTGTTTGAGTAAGTCCTCCAGGTGGCTCTCACCACGCTAAAGCTGAAGAACCCCTGGTATGCTATGGACTCCACCAGGCAGGGATTCTGGCAGGTGTGGACATCAGGGTGGTACCAGCTCTAAAGACCTGGTTGGGGCTGAAAACTGAGAAAATAATCAAATCAGTTCCTTAAGGCAGGAGGCCTGTCAACGAGTCAAAGACTGTGCGTAAAATGTCCTGCCTCCGAGTTTAGCCTCTACCACTTATTTGGTGTTTTAACTTCATATTTCTTGACCTCTTCTGACCTCATTTTCACATCTGCAAAAGGCAGGATAGGTAAATAAGTTAACCTGCTGAGTTTTCTGGGAATGGAATAATAAAAATTGTGGGAAGTGGCTGACACATAGTAGGTCCTTGATAAATGGCAGTGGTTTATTTCATTTATTTGCCATTTAACCTCTCTGGTCTCTATTGTGATGATAAAATATATATGTGTATGTGTGTATAGTTTTTTGTTAAAGTAAACTCTCCCTCTGTCTGGGTGACATGGTGTTTTTTTTGAGCCACCTCATGCAGGTCAGACATAAACCATGCTCATCAGGGTGTCATGACCCACCAGGACAGATTGTGAATCTGCTTTCAGCTTTGAATTTCTGAATTGTCTCTTAAAACCTTCTCTCTTCAGAGTTGACTGGAAACTCCTCAGGGTGTGAGACTGATAAGGGCATTTAAAAAAGTAACAGGAACCGACGTATGCTTTAAGCAAAATGAAAGTAGAAACAGGATATGGATTATAATCCCAGGGCAGGAAGGTGGACAAGTCCATGCAGGAACTGTTGCTAACAGAACAAATTACTGCTCTTCGTGGTCACATTGCTTCATTCTTCAGCCCACAGCATGGAGAGTAGCCAACCATGGCTCCAGCATTGTTTGGCCACGTGGTTTTGCATCCTCAGCCTCTTTCTTTGCCTTTACCTTCAACAGTTTCCCAGTCCTACGTCTAAATTCCTGGGAAAGGGACTCTAATTGGCTAACTTAAGTCAGGTGCCTCCCATCCCCAGCAAATCTCCTGTGGCCAGAGACCCAGGATCACCTGACAAATGAGAGGGTGAGAAGGGGCATTGAAGAAGGCTCACCAGCATTTGGGCAGACCATCATGACGTTCATTTTGACAGGAATGAATGAGAAAACTCTTGAATCCTCCTCAAGAACCACGGCTGCTCCTTACAAGCAGGTGCAGGGTATGAGCAGGATCCTCCTGCTTTGTCTCCCTATCAAATGGTTAGTGTTTGTAATGCTAGATGCCCTTTTAAGCTTCACAGACAAGAAAGGCTGGCTGAACAGACGTAGAATATGAAAAATGAATTTTCTATTCTATAAACATACCAAACTCCAGTGCAAACAAGAAAATATGGCACAACATAAATTACTATTATCTTCAGTGCATGTTATGCTTAATAGCAGCTTATTGAATCTCTTGGTTATGTAAGGCAGTTCTGTGATGATGAATTTTTTTTTTTTTTTTTTTTTTTTTAGTTTTCTGGAGGTAATTGAATACAGAAAAGCTATTACTTTTACTTAAGGCAAAAAATAGCGTGATGTGGAAAATACTCTGGGATAAAAGTCTTTTCTTATTTAGCCACAAGTTAGCAGTGATACAGGGTTCTTCCATCTGGGGACTTGTTCCCTCAAATACAAAATGAGGAGGTTACACCTAGGGATGCATGTCTGAGGTCCTGTTCACTGCTGATATGATCTAGGTTTTTTTGTGATATCCTGTGGATAGAAATATTGTGACTATGTATGTATCCTAGGGATGTGGGATTAGTCATGGTCCTAGCTGGAAATAAGTGGCATACTCAAAGGACTTTTTGTGAAAGTTTAACACAAGGATTGGTTATGGAGGTTTGGGTGGAGTTGAGAGGACCCATAAGGGGTGGTGAAGCATCCAGAGATGAGCAGTAATGGGAAGCTATCATCCTAGGCTGGATGTGCTGTCACCTTAGGGTGATGAGCCACCCGAGGCTGGTAGAGAGGGAGCAGGGGAAAAAATATCTGTGTCTCTCCCATTTCTGCCCTCTGATTCCAGCTGGTGCCTCCCATAGGTTGAACCCTAATTCTGAAGGGGGTCTTGCCAATTCTCCAGCACAGCATTCTACCTCAAGGTCATCAAACATCCCTTCCCTTAACCCGTCTAGCCTTAGCCTATATCCCCTGCTGCCTGAGGAGGTAAGTCCAACCAGCACCACCGGGAGTGGAGGCTCATATCAGTCCCGAAAATTGCACCTTTGTCCATTGTGGCAAGTAGCTGATGGAGGGAGAAGGCAATCAGAGTACATGTGCCTTTTTCTATTTAGGATTTGGTTTTATGCAAGAAGAAATGTGGCCAGTTTTTGGAGGATCTAGCAAAGTTTATAGGGGAGTTTATTAAGTTGACCATGTCCTTTGATTTAACTTGGCATGACTTCCAAATATTATTGTCCACCTGCTGTACCATAGAGGAAAAACAAAGGATTCTGGGTGCTGCCCATGAATATGCAGATAAAGTGACTGCTTGTAACCAAGGCTGCATTGGTGAAGTGAAGTTCCAGATCAAGACCCTAAATGGGATTACCAGAGGGATTCCCAAGATCTTGAATGCAGAAACCAAATGGTAACTTGTGTAATAGAAGGTATGAAAAAGTGTGGTTAAGCCAGTTAATTATGACAACGGTAGAGAAATAACTCGGGGAAAGGATGAAAAGCCCACTTTTTCAGGGCTATTTGGTTGAAGTACTCAGGAAATATATTAATGCAGACCCAGACTCCCCAGAAGGATGAGCTTTTGTGGATATCCATTTTATTACTTAATCTGCCCCTGACATTAGGAGGAAGCTATAAAAGGCAGAAACCCCCATGAACCAACTGTTAAACATGGCCTTTGGAGTTTATAACAATAGGGACAAGGCAGAGGAGACAGATAAAGCAAAAAGAAAAAGCCCAAAAATACAATTGTTAGAAGCTACCTTAAGCCCCCTGCTACCTCAGGGTTACCCATCCTGGGGAAGTGTCACCAGAATGGTGTCTAAGATGCCCAGGTTCTTACCTGCACAAGATACTTGCACATGCATGTTTATAGCAGCACAATTCACAATTGCAACAATTGCTCCCACCTCAACAGCCCCTGGGGCAGAACCAGTGTGCCTTCTGTAAGCAAGAGGGCTGTTGGAAAAGGGACTGCTTCAAACTCCAAAGAGAGTCTTGGTCACCCACATCCGTAATGGCTGAGAGAACAAAGGACTGATGGGGACTGAGGGTCCTCCACGGCTCCCACTGGACACCTTACCATCTCCATAGAGGAGCCCTGAGTAACCCCTGACAGATTAACCCAGAGGAAAAGAAGTCATTATTCAAAAAGATACTTGAACACACATGTTTATAGCAGCACAATTCTCAATTGCAAAATTGTGGAACCAACCCAAATGTCCATCAATCAACAAGTAGATAAAGAAACTGTGGTATATACATACAGTGGAATACTACTCAACCATAAAAAGGAATGAATTAACAGCATTTGCAATGAGCTGGGTGAGATTGGAGACTATTATTCTAAGTGAAGTAACTCAGAAATGGAAAACCAAGTATCGTATGTTCTCACTGATATGTGGGAGCTAAGCTATGAGGATGCAAAGGCATAAAATTGATACAATGGACTTTGGGGACATGGGGGGAAGAGTGGGAGGGGAGTGAGGCATAAAATACAACAAATATGGTGCGTTGTATATTGCTCAGGTGATGGGTGCACCAGATTCTCACAAATCACCATTAAAGAACTTACTTATGTAACCAAATACCACCTGTACCTCAATAACTTATGAAAAAATAAGATTAAAAAAAATTTTTTTTTAATTATTTTGGAGAAGAAGAAATACAAACGTTAAAAAAAAATAGACCTCCCTTCCATTGCGCATTACTTCTCAAGTAGATTCCTCTGTTTGGGACATGGAAGTTCCTGGTAGAGCTGTGAATGCACCCCCAGTCTAGTTTAGTTTGAAACCCAGTGTTGGTTACCCATGTTAGAAAACAATATCCTTTGAGACCTGAAGCACAATGGGGTGTATAGCCCCTGATAGCAAAGTTTCTAAACTACAGATTACCGCAACCCTGTCAGCCCCCATGTAACACCCCTGTCCTGCCTGTAAATAAACCAAATGGGGAATACAAATTTGTTCAGGAGCTGAGGATGGTTAACGAGGCAGCAGTCCCAGTCTACCCAAATAGTTCCTAATCCTCACACAATATTGACCCAAGTTTCTGAAGATGCTAATTGGTTCATGGTATTAGACTTAAAGGAAACTTTCTTCTCTACACCTTTACACCTGGACCCCCCAGTATATTTTTGCATTTGAATAGACTAATCCAGATGCTGTTGCTACATTTCAGTTTACCTGGACTGTCCTCCCTCAAGGTTTTAGGGATAGTCCCCATCCCATTGGGAATGCGTTGGCAAAATAATTAAGGGAACTACAGTTAACAAATGGATCTCTCCTACAATATGTGGATGGCCTATTAATTTCCAGCCCTACTAGGGAAGATTCTGGAAAAAAAATACAATTTAGGCCCTTAATTTTTTGGGAAAACAAGGGTATCAGCTGTCTCCCCATGAGACCCAGACTTCTGTTCAAAAGATTAAATACTTGGTATACATGCTCACTCCTGGAACAAGAACCCTAGCCCAGAAATGAAAATAGACCATCCTGGCACTCCAGCCCCCTCAGACTAAGAAAGAGTTAAGAACATTTCTGGGAATGACTGCATTTTGCCAGATTTTTATTCCCGTTTGAGATCATAGCAAAATCACTCTATGAATCTTTAAAAGGAAATTATTATGAGCCTTTGAATTGGGATGGAACTTGGCAAAAGGATTTCTAACCCTAAAAGAAAAACCTGGAACAGTCCCTGCTCTGGGACTCCCAAACTTAGAAAAACATTTTACCCTCTATGTGGCTGAAAAATAAAGGACAGCCCTGGATTTCTAACTCAAAGGCTCAAGCATATTTCTAGACCAGGTGGTAGCTGGGTGGGCACAATGCTTGTTACTGTGGCCATCATTCCTCTATTGGTAGAAAAAGCCAGTAAGTTTACTTTAGGACAACAATTAGATGTCATGACCACCACTGCCACATGAAGTACAGGGGATCCTAGAGGGAAAACAGAATCAGTGGTTAACAGGGGCCAGATACTTAAATATCAGCCCTTTGGCTGGACACCTCAAATGTTACCCTTAAAGTATATTGAGTTTTAAACCCTGCTACCCTGTTGCCAGACCTCACATCCCAAGAAACAGATCCCCAACTCATCCACTTCTGTGTAGAAACCATAGAACAGATCTGCTCTGGCAGGCCTGAACTTAAAGATGAGCCCCTGCCTAACCCTGATGTTCAGTGGTTTATAGACAGAAGTAGCTTTATTTTGAGGGAGTAAAGAAGACAGATTATGCTGTGGTTAGCCAACAAGAAGTGATTGAGATCAAACTTTTGCTTCCCCAGACTTCTACTCAAAAAGTGGAATTAATCACTCTAATTAGGTTTCTCCAGCTGGAAAAAGACTTAACAATATATTTGCAGATTCTAAATATGAATTCCTGGTACTCCATACTTGTGTTGTCATATGAAAAGAAAGAGGACTATTAACAGCTGAGGGATTCCCCCATACAACATCACTCTGAGATCTTGGAACTTTTAGATGCCATCAAACTCCAAAAGAAATAGAAGTTATTCATTGCGGGAGACACAAAAAGGGAGATATCTCTATCATTATGGAAAATGACCTGGCACCAAAGGCCACTGCTAAGGACAGCTCAATACTGTTAGCTTCTGCACTAATACCTGATACTCCACTCATGTCAGTGACAACACACTGTACACTTGAGGAAATTAAATAGGCAGAAAAAAGACTTAGAGAAAGATTCCCCAGGGTGGTTGCTAGAAAGCAAAAAACTCTCCCTGAGGCTGAGCAATGAAAAATAAGCATTTCCACAACCCCTCACACTTGAGATGGGATTCTCTATTCAAACTGGTTTCCCAAATATTACTGGGGAAGAGACATTTCAGACTGGAAAAAGGGTCACTAGGGCCTGTGAACTTTGTGCCCATAACAACTCAGGAAGGCATCCCATACCCCTGCCCCTATTTAAACCTGTACAACACCAAGAAACATACGCTGGAGAAGACTGGCAAATAGATTTCACCCAGATGCCACCTTAAAGGTGACTAAAATATTTGTTAATACTTACAGACACTTTCACTGGGTAGATAGAAGCTTTCCCTACAAGGACAGAAAAAGCATTAGAAGTGTTCAAATTCTTGCTTAGAGAAATAACCCCAAGGTCTGGATTACCAAAAAGTTTACAAAGTGATAACAGACTTACCTTTTCAGCTAAGGTGACCCAGCAGGTTTCCTCAGCATTAGGCGATACCTATCATCTTCACTCCTCCTGGAGGCCTCAATCCTTGGGTAAGGTAGAAAAGGCCAACCGTGTTTTAAAGAGGATATCAGGAAAACTCTGTCAGATCTCAGAGGCCTGAGTTTCTCTCCTACCCATAGCCTTCTTATGCATTAAGATGGCTCCAAACGGGACCTTAAAGCTTAGTCTATTGAAAGGATTTATGGAAGGCCCTTGATATGGTTTGGCTCTGTCCCTACCCAAATCTCATCTTGAATTTCCACACTTGGGAGGGATGTGGTAGGAGGTAATTGAGTCGTGGGGGCAGGTCTTTCCTGTGCTGTTCTCGTGATAACAAATAAGTCTCATGAAATCTGTTGGCTTTATAAGACAGAGTTTCCAAGCACAAGCTCTCTTTTTGCCTGCTGCCATCCATGTAAGACGTGCCTTGCTCCTCCTCGCCTTCCACCATGATTGTGAGGCTTCTCCAACCATGTCGACCTGTAAGTCTATTAAACACCTTTCTTTTGTAAATTTCCCAGTCTTGGGTATGTTTTCATCAGCAGTGTGAAAACAGACTAATCATCCCCACGGGATGGAACAGTTAAGTTTCAATTTGTCTCCACTAAGATCAACATGACATTAAATCTTACTCAGGGCTTTGTAACAACACCATTACCATTGACTATACCAACTGAAGAGATAACCAAAAGACTTGAATGTGTATACCTCATAGACATCCATAACTGATCCACCCAGAAGGAGACTCACATGCTTAATTGTCCATCTTTGACCATCCCCTGTTGTCTGTGTAGAACCAGGTTTGTGAGAATACAACATATGTAGGCAGTTGGCATCTGTCCTTGGTTTACCCAATGGTATTCTCTGCCAAACATCAACCCAGTACCACCCATTGGTGTCCCACATCTCATTTGGTAGTGGAGTCTAACAAAAATGAGCCCCCTTAAAACTGATAGGCATTCTGGGCAGGTATCAAGATAGTCAAGTGGAGGCTTCTTTACCTACCCCCTAAGGGGGAAAATCATTCACCACTACTAAGGGATCATTCATTGGGCCAATACACCCAGCTCTCAGGGGAGGGCCTCTTTTGCCCCAATGCAACAGCAATGTTCTTGCCTGGTGACCTACTTTGATTAACTGGTTTAACTCCACAGCCCTCCATCAGGTATGTACACCTCCTGGATATGTATTCGTTTGCACTAGTCAATGGAATAAACTGTCCTCTGAAGGCAAGACTGTTCCTGTCTTTACATACCATAGCCTATCCTTGTGTAGACAACTCTCAGTTCCAAGGAAAATGTACTATAGGACAGTTGGGCCCCAGTAGAGTAATGGTCCGTAGCCTTATCTCCAAAATTAGACATAAGAGAACAACTGGACTAATCCTGCTGGGATAGAAGTGGCTATAGGAATAGCAACCCTCTGGGGAGGCTTCACCTACCATGAAGCTACCCTAAGAAACAGTTACCCAGGCTATAGAACACTTGGCTACAAGCATAGGAGAGAGCTTACAGGGTCTCCAGGCTTCCCTAGACTCATTGGCCAACATTGCCCTCAACAATAGACTAGCTGTAGACTATCTTCTAGCCTAACAAGTGGGGGAGGTCTGTGTAGTAGTCAACAAGACTTGCTGCACTTATATCAACAACTTTAGAAAGGTTGAGGCCAACATGCAAAATATATATAAACAAGTTACCTGGTTACATAGATATAACCAGGGAACCGACCCCAACTATTTCTGGTCAACTATCAGAAATGGTCTGCCAAGCTTCACACGGTTTTTATTCTTCCTAAGACCTTTAATGGCTATCTCGTTATTACTAATCTTTGGCATTTGCTTGTTTAACCTCCTTGTAAAGTTTGTGTCTTCTAAATTACAAGAACTTCATGTGAAGATAATGCTGGCACAAGGTTTCCTACCCATCCTGTCTTGTGAACTGGAAAGAAAGACTTTCTGCCTTTGGGCCCCTTAGATCAGGCATCCAGAGATTTTTACTCCTCCAATGGTAGACAGGGCTTACACCCATAATATCAGTAGGCATCTGTTGCAGAAGATAGATCTCCTTCCTTCTACAATCCCTTAAGATTAAGAATGAGTGTATAATTGCTGAGTGGGGAATGAGGTAGGAGATGAAGCAGATAGCTGCACCATCTCAGTCCCTGAAGAGAGGGAAGGCATGGGGCTCAGCTTGGGAGAGTTCTTGGCTTCACTCAGGAAACAACTCAAGAGCAAGCCAAGAGTGAAAGAAAGCAAGTTTATTAGAGTAACAGTGTCCAGCAAAATGGCTGCTCCATAGACAGAGCAGAGCTACCCCACAGGCAGAGGAGCACTCATGGATTTCTGGCTAGCTATATTTACAGCTAATTCTAAATGATATGCTAAAAGCAAGGGTTGGGTTATTTCTGAATTTTCCAAAGGGCGAGGAGTTCTCGGAACCATATAAGGTAACTTCTGGGCATTGCCAGGTCATGGCGCTGGTGGGAGTGTCTTATAGCATCCAAATGCATCATAATTCCTAGTCCAAGTTTAACCCAAACTTGGGGGTTTGCTTGTATCATTTTGAACCTCTCTGTAAATGTATGTGTATCATGTTAATTGGGTCCTCTTTTAAGATCTCTGTTTCATCACTGCCACCTTAGCTGACTTCTTGTTTATTCATTCTCAAACGACTCCAAGGTTATCTCCTGTTCTGCTTGTCCCCACAGGGAATTACATGTCCCCAGGGGGACTTGTAATTACTTGTCCCCAGGGGCCTATGCCCTTTGGCTCCCCAGTAGTTTCACCCAATGGGAGGCACTGGCAGAAGACAGGATAGAAAGAAAATGGGTATTTCTCTCCCACTCTCCCTGGGTATCCCCAGCTGCAGTACAATCTTCTGAGATTCAGCTCTTACAGGGATGTCCTCACTGATTCTAGCTCCCGCTGCAGGTCTACACTTATGAGCTCTGGTAGTACCATCATTTCCTGGTGACTCTAAGGCTCTAACTAAGGGTTGTAGCAGCTTTTCCTACCGGAACTTCTGAGTTGTCTGCTGCTGTCTACTACTGGAACCCTGTTTGGGATTTCAGCGCATCTGTCACCTGTGTAATCAATTCCCTGTACTATATTTTCTCTGCTTTAAATGCCTAGAGTAGTTTCTGTGTTCTGGACTGGGTCAGATAGCTGCACCATGTCAGCCCCTGAGGAGATGGGCAACCTGGAGTTATGGAAAGAACATTCGCCTGAGTCACAAAAGATGCCCAGGGTCAGTTTCTAGTCCTTCCTTTTGCATCTGTGTGACTTCAGACAAGGTATGCAATCCTTTATCCATGGCAAGGATACCTGTTTCTCACACTGGGAGGATTTTAAGTGAATTTACATATATGAAAATGGTGTAAGAATGACTTGGCACATACTAAGTACTCCATAATCTAGGATTAGATTCCTTGATATCAACAAGAAATAGATTGATCTCTCTTCCTTTTTGTCCCAGTTGCAAGTTGTTGGGACTTCAGCCATTTGTGGATAAGCTCTACAGCCTTTAGATTAATGAAATAATTAGAAATGGATGGAAAACAATAAAGGAAAGCAAAGAAGAGGAAACACATTGCTTGAATGGCTACTTCTTTTTAGGAGTTGTGCTAGGTCCGTTAAGTGTGTCTCCTGATTTAATTTCACCTAAAAGAGGGGACCTAATTCTCCTTGCTTTTACAGAAGAAGAAACTGGGTCTCAGAGAGGTGTGGTAGATTGACATGTCCAAGGTCACACAACTAGTGCAATGGTTAGAATCCAGAATTTTGCATCCCTGGAAAGACAGACAGAGCTCAGCTCCTTTCCTCTTATATGACATCCCCACTGGTATCTGAAGTTGCCAGTGGGGATGTTATATAAGAGGAAAGGAGCTGAACTTCCTTAAAAAGAAAGAAGGAACTTAACACATCAGGTTTTAAGACTACAAACTCACTTCATGTTAATCTTGCAAAGCAAACCCAAGAGATGGGGGCAGGTGAAGAAAAAAAAAAGAAGAAAGAAATTAAGAGAAATGTGATGAGCTGGAGAACTGAGAGCCAGGAGTGATAAGGAGGTGGAAGTGGCAGAGACTGCATTGAGATAAGCAGCTGCATCTCTCTAATAGAGATTCTTCCCCCATTCTAAGAAAAAATCAACCTCTAGAACCTGTCAGGGGAGACATAATCCACCTCTGAGAAATAGTTGAGAAGGAAAAAAGAAATGGAGGTAGAGAAGGCGCAAGAAGGGAGCTGTCATCTCAAGGACATTCTCAACTGTGAAGGTCACCTTCTGAATGACTTCTATTTGCCCTCCTTTTCACAGGAACTGTAAGAAGTGGACAAGTAAGTGCAAGATTCAGTACTTTACTTTATAAGAAAAATACTTCTGCATACAGCAAAGATGTTGGTCATAGGCCCTTGGTTCCTAAAACTGCTACTTCTTCTCCAAAGGTTCTTAATTGGAGGAAACTGCTCACAGTTGACCCCTCTCAGGGAATGACAAGGACACAGCCTATCTCTGAGAATTTCAGATTCAGCTGGGCTTTTCTGTGCACCTGTCTAGTGCCAGGTAGGAAGGCTTGATGCTTTCCCATTCACTCTCATCTACTATCTCATCCACATCCTGAGATATACCATTTCCTTGCTTATCAGAAGAGGAAACTAAGACTCAGAATGGAGAAATGACAGGCTAAGGTCACACAGCAAATAATTTGACTCTAAGTCTTCTGGGTCTAGGTCAAGAATTATTTCCTGAAATGAGGTAAACACTGCTAATGTACAAGATGACTGTAGTTGTGTTACATGTATAAACCTTTAAAACAACATTTTAGGACTTAAGAGTTTATTATTATATTAGACTCTCTTAGAAAATAAAGATTAACCAATATGCTAAACTTCCTATATTAGCACCAATACCACTGCCTCAGAGGAAGTTAGATATACATTTTATATAGTAATAATATTGAGTTTCTAATAATACAGCGTTTAATATTAGCAAACATTTTTATAGCACTTACTATAAATGAACTATAAGGTAGACATAGACATTGATATAGATATTTGTGTGTATAATTAGCTCTTATGAGTTAGATACTAAGTGTACTTTCTGTGTTTTACAAATGAGAAAACTGAGGCACAGATTGCTCAAGGAACATACCGAAGCTCACACAGCTGATGACTGTCAAGCTTAGGGTTTACACTGAGGAAGTCTGGCTCCAGAGTCTCTTACCTGTCTGTCTTAGTCCCTGCGTTAAGCTTCATTTTTCTAAAATTTGCAAGTGGATATTCTATGATGAACTCTAGAAATGTGGCAGAAACTTTGTCCCCCAAATCCATTCTGCCCTTCTTTCAGAGTAATAGAATTTGAGATCAGGCACAGAGCCACAGAGAATTAGCACCACAGACTAGGTCCTGACCAACAGAGAGTGAGCAGAGTTGATGAACATAGTGTCCAGTTCTCGGTTCCCGCTGCCTTCTCCCCACTGCTCCGTGGTGGGATGTGAAGGGGTAGTGAACACCTTGGACCATGCCAACACGGGATACACCACAGGGAAGCCAGAACGGAGAGAAAGAAATGGACTGCCTGCTGACTTTGTGGAGAACCTATATCAGCTGCAAAATTTATGTGAGAAAGAATAAACCTTCATTTTGCTCAAGCTGTTGTTATTTTTGGTGTTTCTTAGATGCAGCCAAACCTGTATCTTAACTCTTACAAAAAAGACCTGTGGCTATATTGCAAATTTGAAAGTACAGCCTAATTTTTTAAGGTTGTCCAATAGGATGTGTGGAAGCAATCTAAACCTGAAGCTATCCTTACACAGAATAATAATAATGACAACAATATGAGCACAGACTATGTGCCAGACACTTTTCTAAGCACTTTACATATTTTAACCCATTTTAATCTTTACTATGAGAAGGATACTATTTTTATCCTCATTTTCCAGGTGAAGAAACTGAGCTACAGGGAATGAAAGGAGCTCATACCAAAGCACACATGTGTAAATGGCAGAGATTCCATTGTATGACCACTTTGAAACTTAAAACTGAACACAAGTTTAATAAATAATGGAGATAACCCTCCCCTGACATTGCAGAGGACTGGAGGGAATATGGGGTTTTCTTTCTTTGAACTGAGTTTCCACAGGACGGTTTCCATGGCACACATTAGGTAAAACATGCTCTGCATGAACTTGGCCTGTTCTTTTTCTTCCCTGGTGTGTTAGCCTTGACAGTGTGGTCCCAGATAGCTCCCTATTGCCTCGGCATTGCAGCCAGGGAGCAATGGGAAAGAGAAAGGAGCAGATGTGACTGAAGTTCTCCTCCTGTAAGGGAGCCCCTCCTTTGCCTGCTGGGGTTTTGTGCCTAACTGACTCAGGCCCTCCAGAATTGAGGGAGGGAGGAGGCAGCAGCTTTGAAGAGCTGGGAGATGAGGATGATAGTCCAGAGGCCAAATTCAAACTGTAAATGCACTGTGGGACTCTCGGGTTTTGGGAGAAGGAAGGGGCACCCTGCACTGAGGGCAGCTTCTTTTCTCTTCTAGTTCTAATAATGTACTTTAAAATTCATTGATTTATTTAGCACCTACAAAGCAAGGCACTGAAGAAGTGAGACTCAGTTGATGAACTGAAATAAAAGAGAAAATTGAGTCTCAACTTCTGCTCCTGAGAGTCACAGTTTGGGGTGAAGGTGGGGAATAGGCAAGTAAAACAATGAGGCTCTGGTGGTGGACAAAGGTCAATTCATACTGACCTTTTTGTATGAAGTTAAAAACTTTGGATTCTCCCTCAAAGACACGTAAAGCACGTTAACATGATCAGACTTGCATCTTGTAAAAGTGATTGATGGACAGGTTTCCCTCTTCGAAGAACAAATTTATCTCATGCTGGGAGTGAGAGATGGTTCGGAGTCAGAGAGCAGGGAGTCAGGCTCTTGTGCTTGAATTTTGGCTCTGTGTTGTCTAGCTAAAAGACCCTAACCTCCCTGTGTTCCACTGGTAATAGAATAAAGCAGTACTGTCTTAGGGATCATTATGAAAGTGAAGTAAGTTAATCCATGGAAATGCTTCAAACAATGCCCTGCACATATGACCTACCATCATTGTCTTGAGCTGTGCAACTTCTTTTCAGTGATGGGTTTTTCTTTGGCACTATTTCCGGTTCCATCTTAGACCACTCGCCCTCCTTTCATGGCAGGATATGTCATAGTGCCCTTCACTGCCCTGTTCCTTTATTTTCCCAAAGCTACCTCAGTGTGTCACACTTTACAGAGGGATTAGAGATACACAGTTTTTAAAGCAGAGTTCTCAGAAGGATTAATCAGGAGTACATGCCAAAACTTTCTGGCTTGCAACAGAGGAATCATCAAAAAGAAAAAGGCCGGGTGTGGTGGCTCATGCTTGTAATCCCAGCACTTCCGGATGCCAAGGCGGGCGGATTACCTGAGGTCGAGAGTTTGAGACCAGCCTGACCAACATGGAGAAACCTCGTCGCTACTAAAAATACAAAATTAGCCAGGCTTGGTGGCACATGCCTGTATTCCCAGCTACTCAGGAGGCTGAGGCAGCAGAATTGCTTGAAACCAGAAGGCAGAGGTTGTGATGAGCTGAGATCGCACCATTGCATTCCAGCTTGGGCAACAAGAATGAAACTCCGTCTCAAAAACAAAAACAAAAAAACAAAAACACACACACACACAAAACAATGATTCCGATATTCTTTTAGTGAAGGAGTCAATATAAGAGAAAAAAGGGGGTAGCAAGGTATTATGATTGTCAGCCTGGATAGAACTCACTGAAGATTGCTAGGTTAGTCACAAGCCTGGTTAAAAGTGCTACAATTTTTTCAACTGCACCAGGTTAAAACCCAATTTGACATCAGCCCTGCTGTTGATTGAAAGAAACATCAAATGGCAAAGCTCTGCTTCAAACTAGCCATTCAAAAACTGCTCAGAAATGCTGGACAATATTTTCTTTCTTTTCTCAGAATATAGAAGAGGAAAATATAATCTCAAGATTACACAAAATAGGAGTTGGTCCAGAGCCTAAAAAAACCCATTCAAGCAATACCTTCATGGGGGTTGTAACAAGATAGTCTGTCCTGGCCACTTGGCCCATCCAAGTTCTCCAAGTTCTGCACAAGGGTCTGTGGCGGGGATAGGGCTGTAGGAGTTGGAGCTGGAGCTGGCACTCTGTGTCTTGCCAAGGATAGGTGTTGGCCAACCATTAACAGTGATTCCTGTAGAGAGGGTTGGGTTCATAATCAGGAATCACACATCATTTTCAAGGACTCTTTCCCCCAAAGAAGTTACATGTTATTACACAGATAGGTAGTACTTTTCTTTCCAGTATCTTATTATGCTTTATAGATATTTCTTGGAATAAAAAGACCCATTGCTGGACCATGTATCTCTTACTGGCTACTACTTGAACTACAATCAACTCATAGGGTAGAAGTTTTGAAATGCAAGTCCTCAATTAACTCTTAACTAAAGGCCATTTGCTAATACATAATGATAACTAAGGGGAAAAGAAAAGTAGATTTTAAAACACAATTCTGTTTATGCTCAATACCTAAAATAGTTCTAAACAACATTTGTTGAAGGGGTGTTAAACAATATTCCATTCTCAGAACAACCCTTTGGTAGAAGATTATTATTTGTATCTTAAAGATGTGAAGAGGATATATAACTCGATCAAGATCATGCAGTGTAGAAATGACATTGTCTGGTTTGGTAACCAGATACTGCAGCCCTGGCCTGGTCTTTAATTGAGTTCTCATGCAGATAGATTTAGACTTTGGACATATCAGTGCTTTCTATTAGTGTCAGAGATGTTTGAACCAGAGCAACTCCACCTTGAATAGAGGCTGGGTAAAATAAGGCTGAGACCTACTGGGCTGCATTTTCAGGAGGTTAGGCACAGGATGAGATAGGAGGTCAGCACAAGGTACAGTTCACAAAGACCTTGCTGATAAAACAGATTGCAGTAAAGAAGCTGGCCCAAACCCACCAAAACCAAGTTGGCAACAAAAGTGACCTCTGGTCATCCTCATTGCTCATTATAGGCTAATTATAATGCATTAGCATGCTAAAAGACACTCCTACCAGCACCATGACAGTTTACAAATGTCATGGCAACATCAGGACATTGCCATATATGGTCTAAAAAGGGAAGGAACCCTCAGTTCCAGGAACTGCCCACCCCTTTCCTGGAAAACTCATGAATAATCCATCCCTTATTTAGCATATAATCAAGAAGTAACAATGAGTATAAGTAGCTGAGTGTCCCCTGCCACTGCTCTGCCTATGAAGTAGCCATTCTTTATTCCTTTCTTAATCGACTTGCTTTCACTTTATGGACTGTCCCTGAATTGTTTCTTGTGCGAGGTTCAAGAACCCTCCTTGGGGCCTGGATCAGGACTCCTGGTAATGTTAGGACCCCCAGATCACCCCTGTTCTGATTCTGTCATCTTTGTGACAGTACAAGGACCTTCATATGTTCTTGGCCCATTCCTGGTAAAACACACTAATGTCAAATCGTTCTGTGATGGTTAATGAGTGTCAACTTGATTGGATTGAAGGATGCAAAATATTGATCCTGGGTGTGTCTGTGAGGGTGTTGCTAAAGGAGATTAATATTTGAGTCAGTGGGCTGGGAAGGCAGGCCCACCCTTAATACAGATTTTGGTACCAAGAGTGGGGTTCTTCCCCAAGGGGACCTGGCCTCCACTTCATTCAAGGGGTTCTGGGTCTATAAATTGGCTCAAGTTTGGAAATTGAGGGGCAGTGATTCTCTGTTTTTATAAATCAAATTAGTTTTTTGTTCACTTGACCTGGAAGTTTTCTGCTTATATAAATTAAGTAGGAATGCAGTAGACTTCCTATCAATTTCACTTCTAGGAACACCAGGATTAATTAGCCAATGCCAGAGCTCTACACAAGTCAGACTCTTCTGATTGCTACTTTGCCTCTGCTGTCCATTACAGTATCTATGCCCACCTTGCCTTTGATGATTGAGTGCTGCCACTTGGTCCCTGTCACCTCAGGATCCAATTATTCCCATTGCATTTAAATTTTGTGGTTAAGTGACTGAGGTTCCCACTGTTAGATCTGACATACAGAGAAGAGCAATTACAGGGCTCTTCAAGATGCAAGTGCTGCCCTCACAAATCTGTTTTGCAAAGCATTGGTCAAGGGTACCTCTTCTAGACCCTCCCAGCTGAGATGAGTAGATCTAAAGTGACTAATCCACTCCACCATCCCAATCTCTCTAAGCCTTTGGATCCCTTCCTCTGCATTAAACCAAGGGAGATCAGGTATTTCCAGCTCACTCACAGTGGGCCATCTTTTAATCCATATTTTGGCTAACCAAGCAAATAATTAGAACCTTTTTTAAATCCCCGAGCTGCAACATTAAATGCAGACTCCCTACTTAGTGGGCCTAAATCAATAAATTCAGCCTGGTCCAACTCTGTATTCCTTCCACCATTATCCCATACCCTTGATGTCCATTCCCATACCTGTTCTCCAGATTTCTGCTTATGTAAGTTAGAAAACAGGTTCTTTTTGAGTGTAGCACACCTCCTCATGGGTCACATTCTGAACCTCACCTCTAGGGGCCCGCTGGGACTTTAGTCTAGTTATAGGTCTAGAAGCAAACAGGGGTGTTGGGGGTGGCTCCTGAGAAGAATCAACATCATCTTGCCTGGTAACTACCTCGGGGGAGGCCATTACTGTTGCCTCAGGCAGCGCAGAGTTTATCTCCTCAGACAAAAGTGGAAATGCTGTTGGCAGCATGGGTCAGGGAGGGGATGTTGCCACTACTGGGGATGGGGTAGCTGTTTCTTTGAGCAGTGCACCTGGTTGTGTGCTGTGCATGGAAGGAGACATGGCCAGATATATAATTATATACTGATTCGTGGAACTTGTAGCCAATGGTTTGGCTGGACAATCAGGGACTTGGAGGAACCATGATTGGAAAATTGGTGACAAAGAAATTTGGGGAAGAGGTATGTGGACAGACCTCTCTGAGTGGTCAAAAACTGTGAAGATATTTGTATCCCATGTGAGTACTCACCAAAAGGTGACCTCAGCAGAGGAGAATTTAAAAAATCAAGTGGATAGGCAGTGCACAGTGGCTCACGCCTGTAATCCCAGCACTTTGGGAGTCCAAGGCAGGTGGATCACCAGGTCAGGAGTTTGAGACCAGCCTGGCCAACATGGTGAAACCCTGTCTTTACTAAAAATACAAAAAATGAGCCGGGCATGGTGTCAGGTGCCTGTAATCCCGGCTACTCAGGAGGCTGAGGCAGGAGAATCACTTGAACCCAGGAGGCAGAGGTTGCATTGAGCCAAGATCACACCACTGCACTCCAGCCTGGGCAACAGAGCGAGACTCAGTCTCAACAATAACAACCAACAACAACGTCGTCAACAACAACAACACAAAATCAAGTGGATAGGATGACTTATTCTGTGGACACCACTCAGCCTCTTTCCCCAGCCACCTCCATCATTGCCCAGTGGGCCCATGAACAAAGTGGCCATGGTGGCAGGGATGGTGGTTATGCGTGGGTTGAGCAACATCGACTTCCACTCACCAAGGCTGACCTGGCTAGTGCCACTGCTGAATGCCCAATTTGCCAGCAGCAAAGACCAACACTGAGCCCCCAATATGACACCATTCCTCTGGGTGATAAGCTAGCTACTTGGTGGCAGGTTGATTATATTGGACCTCTTCCATCATGGAAAGGGCAGAGGTTTGTCCTCACTGGAATAGTCCAGATATGTGTTTGCCTGTCCTGCATGCAATGCTTCTGCCAAGACTACCATCCATGGACTTATGGAATGCCTTATGTACCATCATGGTATTCCACACAGCATTGCCTTTGACCAAGGCACTCACTTTATGGCTAAAGATGTGTGTCAGTGGGCTCATGAATTCATGCTTATGGAATTCACTCGTCTTACCATGTACCCCATCACCCCTAGTGATCCACTAGCAAAATTTTTGCTCCCTGTTCCTGTGACATAATGTTCTGCTGGCCTAGAGGTCTTAGTTCCAGAGGAGGAACACTGCCACAAGGAAACATACAACTATTCCATTAGAGTGGAAGTTAAGATTGCCACCCGGACACTTCGGGCTTCTCCTACCCTTAAGTCAACAGGCTAAGAAGGGAGTTACAGTGTTGGCTGGGGTGATTGACCCAGACTATCAAGATGAAATCAGTCTACTGCTCCACAGTGGAAATAAGGAACAGTATGTGTGCAATACAGGAAATCTCTTGGGGCATCTCTTAATCTTACCATGCCCTGTAATTAAGGTCAATGGGAAACTACAGGAGCCCAATCCAGGAAGGACTACAAATGGCCCAGACCCTTCAGGAATGAAGGTTTGGGTCACTCCACCGGGAAAAAAACCATGACCTGCTGAGGTGCTTGCTGAAGGCAAAGGGAATACAAAATGGGTAGTAGAAGAAGGTAGTCATCAATACCAGCTATGACTATGTGACCACTTGCAGAAACGAGGACTGTAATTGTCAAGAGCATTTCCTTCTTCTTTTGTTAAAAACATGTTTGTGTATGTATACACTTGTACTAAGAAAATTCCTTCATTTTATTTCCTTTTTCCTTTGTCATGTGACATAAGATTTATTGACTTTATGTCAGCATTTAAGTGTTGTTAACTTTAATACCATTTGGGTTGGGAATTGATGCATTTCTGGTTGTACAAAGGGTAGTTGTATTATGTTAGGTGTAATTATGACCTTATTATTGTCTTTATTTGAAGATTATGTATGATCTCAGGAGATGTATATGGGTTCAAATTGACAAGGGGTGAACTTGTGTTGGTTAATACTGAGTGTCAACTTGATTGGATTGAAGGATGCAAAGTATTGATCCTGGCTGTGTCTGTGAGGGTGTTGCCAAAGGAGATTAACATATGAGTCAGTGGGCTGGGAAAGGCAGACCCACTGTTAATCTGGGTGGGCACAATCTAATTAGCTGCCAGCATGGCTAGGATAAAAGCAGGCAGAAGAACATGAAAATACTAGACTGGCTTAGCCTCCCAGCCTACATCTTTCTCCCATGCTGGATGCTTCCTGCCCTTGAACGTCGGACTTTAAGTTCTTCAGCTTTGGGACTTAGACTGGCTTCCTTACTCTTCAGGTTGCAGATGGCCTATTTTGGAACCTTGTGATTGTGTGAGTTTAATACTCCTTAGTAAACTCCTCTACATATATAACCTATTAGTTCTGTCCCTCTGGAGAACCCTAATACACCATCATTTACAATAAAGACCGCCTGAGTGATGAAAAATTAAATGCCTGAGGATCAGTAGGAATTTATATTCTAGAAGAATTCAAATGCTTGCCTAAAATAATTAAATTCCAAAAAGACAATTTCAAGTATCATGGGGAGAATATTTTAAAGATTCTGGTGGGGGACACCTGGGCCCAGTAATCTCACCACTTATGAGAAGGAGAAGTAAGACCCTGGAGTCATAAGCCCTCAAGGTTATGCTACCCTGGCTTGCTAAGGGAGTTGGCCAAGTCATAGTGCTTTTTTTGGGCCTTGATTCTCCTCTATAGAGAGGATGGACTTGGAGATCTTGAGCTCTTGCAGTTAGGATCCACTATAGGGTGCCTTTCTTTCCTTAACACATGCTGGCTAACTCTGAAAATGAAATTGTAAAGTCCCTCTTTTCAAAGTCAGCCTGTGGAGAATGTTATTACATGTTTGTCTTCCCTAAAGGCAATTGCTTCCACAGCTCTGTCTTATTTTGTAACCAAGGATGAGCTACCACTCCATATCCTACTCAACCAGTAAGCCACATGGCCATCAGAGCTGTTCTTGCTACCTTATGGCTCTTTCCATCATAAACTGAGTTGAGCCTGTCCCAGATCCCAAAGCCCATCAACCAGCATATTGCATCCCTTAAGCCTGCTCCAATCAAGATGCCATCCTCACCTCTGCATAGACGGCACAAGTCAAAGTTATTAATAACTTCCACATTGCCAAGTCTAGGGGTCAATTCTCAGCCTTCACCTAATGAATTTATTGGCAGCATCTGATATGTGCCTCCCTTCTCAATGAAATATTTTTATTGGGATTCTAGGACAGCAGAATCAAATGGTTTTTCTGCTCTCTTTCTAGTTTTACCTTCCCATTTTCTTTCGTGGAAACTTTTGCCACTTCCTGAACTCTGAATATTGGGGCACCTCCCTACCTGTCCCCCTGGACTCAGTTATAGGTGCTCCCCACATGTTTCTATTCAGTCTCAAAGCTTTAAATATCATCTATAGGATGATAATTATTGCAGTTTTGGTTCCCACTCAGAGCTCGTTTTCAAATTCCAGACTCATGCAATGCTTACTTAGGAACTGCCACTAAGGAATCGAACAGACAGCTCAAACTTACCATGTCCAGTGACTTATTCTTGACTTCATCCCTAATTCTTTCTTTATCCTTCTCTATCTTTGTAAGTGGTGCCTTCATCCTTGCAATTGTTGAAGCCAGAACTTTTGACTTCTACTTTTTCCTTTCTTTTTCTCACACCGCATCCCAGCACATCATCACGTCCTGTCTGATCTACCTTTAGAAAGTGTCTATAATCTGACAACTTCTCACAGTCTCCCCTGCCACTGACTTTGACTATAGACTCCTACTGATCCAGTTTCCCTGCTTCTATTCTTGCTTTTTTAGAATCTAAACTGTATAGCGAGCAGAAAAAAAAATCTTCATAAAACACATGTCAGTTTACGGCATTTCTCTGATAAAACTCTCATCTGAATTCTCACTATCTCAAAGTATCCCAAATCTTTATTGTAACCTTAAGGCCACATGTGCTATGACTCTTGATCCTTCTTAAAATTTCATCTCCTCCCAGTCCCTTCCGTTGTTCCAGCCACACTGGCCTTCTTCTTTCTCGCAAGCTTACCAAGAGCCTTTCTCCTTCAGAGGCACTTGGTCTCTCTTTGCCCAGAACACTTTTTGCCCAGCTAGCTCATGGTTTGCTCCATCAGCCCAAACCAGCCTCGAGTTGGATGTGACCTCCTTATAGAGGTCTTCCTGGACCATCCTATGTAAGAGTGCCTTTCATCACTCTCAGTCCCCCTTATTTGCTTTTTTTTTTTTTTTTTTTAGTACTTCTTAGCACTGACATGTTACATGTCAGTTTATTAAGTTATGGTCAGTCACTTTTTACTAGAACAGAAACTTCAGGAGAGCAGGGTCTATGGCTGTTCTGTTTACTATTGTGTTCTGGCACCCGGAACAACGATTGACACATGGAATTTGCTCTATAAATGCTTATTGAAAGAAAGTGGAGCTCTGTCCCTTTTCTCTCAAAGCACTGTCAGCTCTCACATACAAATTATATGCAGACACAAACATACGTACCCACACTGTCTCACACACTTTCTGATGTGCACTCGCTCATTTTTACTCTCACAATGACACCCTTGCAGGGTTCCCATGCAGTCCCTATGCATGTGATTTCTGCTGACACCAGGTGAAGCTAAGATCAGCTGTTAGGGAATATGGACATAAAAGAAGAGAGCTTGAGTAAAACTTAAAATCTGTTCAGATAATGAAAGTGAGAATAACAGACATTTTTAACTAGACTGCATAGGCTAGTCATATATGCTCTGGTACATACCCAGGCATGTACACTCAGACTCATATACACACTCTTAAATCTCCATGTGCACAAATCCACACACATTCTTAAATCTCCATGTGCACAAATACCATCACACATATATACACACAGAGAGGCATTTTCCTACTCACTTGCTCACACACACACTCGAAATTCATGCACCTCTAGGCTATTCTCTACAGAAACTCACACCCATGCCCAATACACCACACTTCTCTTTATGTATACACCAGTGTAGTAATATATTCACACACACTCATACCTCAAGGGGTACTCACACTCACTTGCTGTGTCTCCTTCTCCACACACTGGAGCACAAAAATAACTCATACTCTCATCAACTTAGTTATCTACACATGCAATTACATAAACGCCTACTATAGATACTCGTACATACTCCAGCCCATACTCACACTGCATTTACCAGAACGCTCAACTCCATACACACACATATACACACACTTTAAAAATTGGCCTAAAATGCTGCAGCCTGTTGTTGTGGAAACAGAAGTCCTCCAAATGACAGGGAAATAACAAGGACACCTGAAGACAAAAGCCTATAGCATCTCTGTGGAGGTGTGTGCTGTGCAGCTGTGAAGACAGTGCTCTAAGTGGCAGGCTTTTCTTCCTTCTGCTTAGAGAGAGTTAATGGTGTCAGATGGAACCTCCCTACACTTCCTGGTGAGCTACCTAAATATATATCTTTATCTGCACTTTTACCTTCTTTTTCCCAGTCTCAGAGGCAGTGTTCTTCTGTCTTCTGCATATGACATTCTCCACCTGTGCTGCCTTGCCATCTCAACCCAGCCACTGTTCAATCTGTTGTTAGAGACTCTCCCTTACTCTTGACCACTTCCCCCCCCAGAAAGGAAACCTGTTCTGGTGTTATCAGTAGTGAGAAAACTCACCCCCAATCATTCATTTCCCTTGAATCACTTTCCTCTTTCATCTTCAGAGCCAAGCTCCTCATTTCCACTCATTCACTTTTCATCATCTCTATTAGTTTGTTCTCATGCTGCTAATAAAGACATACCTGAGACTGGGTAATTTATAAAGGGAAGAGGTTTAATTGACTCACAGTTCGGTGTGGCTGGGGAGGCCTCAGGAATCTTAGAATTGTGGCAGAAGAGGAAGCAAATACGTCTTTCTTCACGTGGCAGCAGGAAGGAGAAGTGCCGAGTGAATGGGGAAAAGCCCCTTATAAAACCATCAGATCTTTTGAGAACTTACTACCATGAGAGCAGCATGGGGGAACCACCCCCGTGATCTAATCACCTCCCATGAGGTCCTTCCCCCAACACATGAGGATTACAATTTGAATTACAATTCAAGATGAGATTTGGGTGGGGACACAGAGCCAGACCATATCATCATCCAACCACTAGATTCAGGATCTTCTTCAATGCCTATTGACTGTCATTGCCTGGCAAAGGTCATGGTTGACCACTCTATTGATAAATTGATACATGCAGTGGGTACTTTGGCATCTTCATTGGTGTTGGCTTGGGTTCTCTCTGTCATGATTCTTCTTTTATCTCCCACCATACTTTTGTTCAGCTGCTTTTGGAGGCGTATCTTTCTCTTCTTGCTCCTTATGTCTTCTTGTTTCCCTAGGGTCCTGTGCTAGACCCCATAGTTTCTTTCTGTATTTACTCTGCACCCACTTGAACTCATCTGTTCTCATTAATTCAACTACTGCCAAGAGCTGTTCTTTGAGTGTCAGATCTATGTGTTAAAACCTTCTTACTAGGAATCTCCACCCAGTTCTTTCTCAAGAACCTCAAATTCTACTGAACTTAGTGTGTGTTCCCCCAAATCATTCTATTCCAACCATGCTCTCTGTATCTGGGCATAACATTACCATGTATCCGCCACCTAAGCCAAGAATCTGGACATCCCTGTAGACTCTTTCTCTATCTTCTGGACCCAATCAGTTCACAAGTTCTTGAGATTCCATATGCTTTCCATCTCTACAGTCTGTCTCTCATTGTTTCCTTTCCCATCCAGAAAAATCCAAAGGTAACTTACCTCCCACCCACCCACCCATTTAAATAATCTTATACCTATCCTGTCCATGTTGCCCATTATCTCAAAACCCTTCAGTAGTTTCTTTGGCCCACAGGGTAAATTTCATGACTAGACAAAAACCCTTGCCTTGTCTTTTGATTTGCTGCCTATCCCTTGTCCTTATAGGTCCCTATTTAGTCTGGTCATATGAATATTCCTGAATTTCCCTGATAACTCCAGGATATTTCAAGCCTTCATGATATTCATCCTGCCTGGAATGCCTTTGTCTCCTGGTTCCTCTGTTTCTTCATCTGATGGGTGTTCATCTGTTCAACCTTAAAGACTCAATACCTACTAACTTCTTGAGGGCCTTTACTGATCATTTTCACCTCTCTCTTTTTTGTTCCCCTACTCAACTCTGAACATGTTCTATCACTGTAACTGTAATACTTGAATACCATTAGTGTATATCTGCCTTCCTAGTAGACTGAAGTTTCCAGAGGCCAGTGTGCTTGATTCTCTTAGGCACCTTCATATTGCAGGTGCCTGACACATGCAGGTGCTCAGTCAGCTGTGTGTTCACAACCTACTCAGTGCTATCACAGATGATACACTAAGTACATGAAGGCTATGGGAACTCCAAAGCGGGAGTGGCTAACATTGGTTGGGCAATATAACATCTGAAATATATCCAAAGCAGCATTGCTAATTCCAAACCTACAAACTTAATCCAGCGGAAACACATTTTGCTTGACTCACACAGTGTTGTAAGAAAACTGGATAAGTCTCTGATATACAAGAGGTCAATCACTCCTTTTCATTTCAACTAACACCTTCACATATTTTTGTTATCTGTCTGCTTCCTGAATGCATCTGAGTTCATAACTTCTAATTTATATGCCCCCTTTATATGCCCCTAAAACAATATTTGGGGCATATAAAAAAAAAGGACACTTGTTGTATTACTCTGTTCTCATGCTGCTAATAAAGATATAACAAAGACTGGGTAATTTATAAAGAAAAGAAGTTTAATGGACTCATAGTTCCACATGGCTGGGGATCCTCACAATCATGGCAGAAGATGAAGGAAGAGCAAAAGCACATCTTACATGGCAGCAGGGAAGAGGGCATGTGCAGGGCAACTCCCCCTTATAAGACCATCAGATCTCGTGGGACTTATTCACTATTGTGAGAATGACATGGGAAAAACTCCACTCCCATGATTCAATTACCTCCCACCAGGTCCCTCCCATGACATGTGGGGATTATTACAATTCAAGGTGAGATTTGGGTGGGGACACAGAGCCAAACCATATTACTTCTTTATTGTATGTTGGTTATAAGAGGAAATATTTTAGGATCAAATGGCCCATGTTTTAATCATAAATGCCTCACTTACTAGTTACATAGCATTAGGCAATTTAGTTCATCATTCTGGGCCTCAAATTCTTCTAGTTTAGACATGGGGACACTAATAGTACCCAATTCGTTGCATTGTTACGAAAATTAGTAAATACACATAAAACACTTAGAATAGTGCACTCAATAAGTGTTAGCTATTATTCATTATTATTTATTGTTTGGGCAAAGGAAATCATAGGTACAAAGTCTTCAGAGTTTGAAAGAACATTGCATATTGGGCAAAATTAAGATGCTAAGTGAGGAAGAAATATGAAAATAATGGGAGGTGGGAAGAGGTAGAGATCACATCTCATTGTTTTGCCCAATTGAGAGCCCAAAACATAATGGGCATTCATTACATCTTAGTAGACTAGGTGAATAATTGAATGAATGAATAAATATTTCCGTCTTAGTATGTTCCTGCTACTATAACAAAATAACTTACACTGGGTAATTTGTGAATGATGGAGATTTTATTTCTCACTGTTCTGGAAGGATGAGATCAAGATCATGGCACCAAAACATTCAATGTTGGGTGAGTGCCTGTCTCACTGATGGTGTCTATTTGCAGCATCTTCGCATGGTGGAAAAGGCAAAAGGGCAAAGGGGCCCAGCTAGTTCCTTCTGATTCTTTTACAAGGGTATTAATTCCACTCATGACAGTGGGGCCCTCATGACCTATTAATCCCCCAAAAGTCCCACCTTTTAATACTGGAGGAACACAAACATTCAAACCATAGCAACTCCCAAGGCTCTCATTGGCTAGGGGGTCCAGCTACCAAGTGGCCTGAAAAAGAACTGAAGATATTGGTTCATGGTTCATGCTTTGAGGATCTCCTGTGTGTGCCAAGCACTGTATTAGGGGCTTATATCATTGAAACAAACAAAGATCTCTTCCTTCCTGGACATTCTAGCAGGGGAAGGTAGGCCATAAACAATATGCACAGAAATTAAGTAAATTATGTAGTATACTTGCAAATAATAAGTGATCCACATTCTGGTTGCTATGAGAAATATAATGGTGGCAAGGGTACAAGCAGGGATCCTGTTAGGAGGCTATGGTGCGATTTGGGTGAGGGGTAATGGTGGTCACAGTAATGTTGGGCTAGGGGAATCAAGAGGGCCAAGAGATTTGGTTGGCAGAGGCAGGTAGCTTTATTAAATAGGGTGTTTGGTGTAGGTTTCATTGAGAAGAGCTATTTGAGCAAAGACATGAAGTAGGTAAGTGGGTTACTAAAGTGGGTAAACATGGGAAGGGCATCCTAGGCAGAGGAAATAGCTAAAGCAAAAGTGCTGAGGCTGGAGCATGTCTAATGGGTTTGAGAAGCAGCAAGTAAGCCAGAGGGGCTGGCGTGGAGTGAGGGAGGGCAGAGCACCAGGAAAACAGAGAGGTAACATGGGCTGGAGGGCCTAGATGTTCATTGTAAGGACATTGTCACTCTAGAGAAACTGGGCATAATCACAGTGTCTGGAGCCAAGGAGTGAGTGCATGGTCTAACTTTATTAAAAGAATCCTTATAGCTTCTATGTACAAACTGCACTGTGAGTGGCAAGGATGAAAGCAGAGCCTTATTAAGAGGCAGGTGAGAGATGATGGTGGTAGAGATAAAGCACATTCTTTAGGAGTGAATATTACGCTCAGAAAGAAAATAAAGCTGAGAAGACCACTAATTTATGAAGATGCATGGGTCCAAGCAAAGGAAAATTCAGTTTCATCTGTGGTCATACACAATCCTGGTCCCTTGATTTGCCTTCTTTTTTTCTATAATGACCACAACTCTGAAAACATTTACCTGCTTGTAAAAAGATAATTATAGTTATAAAAACAACAATATCACAGCACCTAATGTTGATGAAACATCTAGTGAAAGCTAAGCCCTATTCTAAATTCTTTGCTTATATTTACTATTTAAAACTATGAGGCAAGCTGATGGATATCTCAGTCACTTTGGTTTGATTATATGAATGGATCAGATCATCCTATATACCATTAAAATATGCATAGCTGTTATGTATCAATGAAAAACAAAAAATAAATCAGCGTCTGAAAAAAATTATGAGAAGGGTTCCGTTCTTATCCCATTTAAAGAGGTGCACAAGAAGGCACAGACAGGTTCAATGACTTGTCTAAGGTCACACAATTAATAAGTGGCAGAGCCAAGATATGATCCTGGATGTGTAAATCCAAGGCCTGTATTCTTTGCTCTCCACTGTACTATTCCCCAAGTAGTGGAAATGCGAACTCAGTGAATGAATTAGGCACAGGAGTAGAAAATTGAGAGTCTGGGATGATTTTGCAGAGCCCACTTAGATATAGTCGTTATGCATGAATGCCATTAATGACCATCTTTAGATTTTTGTATCTATTTGGTTTTTAATTGTATCACTATTTTATTTCTTTTTTTTACCATTTTTATATTTCTCTTAGATCTTCTCAGTTTTTAGGACATGGAAGTAGGGTTGTTCTTGTTATTTATTATAAAATAAGCAAAATAGTTTTGTTCTTTGTTCTGCTGAACAAGAGTGCCCTGATAGCTTGTTGGATTTCTGTAGGGGAAGTGTTTCTTCCAAATTCTCAGAGAATCTTAATAGCCCACCTTTTCATTACTCACTTCTTACAGTAATTGCGGTCTTTAACTTTATAACGTGATTGTTAATAGCAGGGCAAGCTGCTTAGAGAAACTTTAATTGGGGTTAAATTAATAAAATCAATATCATCTCTTAAATTCCAGCTTTTATCTACTTGTAATGTGTTTATCAATCATAACATGAAGCTATGCATCATCTGAATGATTTCAATAAGATTTTATTTTCTCGATGTAGAGTTAATATACTTCAGTTTGGAAATATTTATAGAGAAATAGTAGGCAGGAGGATTTTTGCTGGTGGTGGTGGTGAAGTGTGTGCATGTGTGTGTTTGGGGCGGGGAGTGGGGCAGAGGTAAGGTGGCTGTCTGTCTGTCTGTCTTAGTAGAAAGAATCAAACAGAATTGTTGTCCCTCCACAACATTTTTCTCTTGGTTTTCCTCTGACATCTCTGGAGCCACTCTCTTTGCTTCCTTTGATAGCTTCTTTTTTCAGTGTTCCTCCAATGAGTGGGCTTCTCAAGGCTCTTTTCTAGATGTTTGTCTCTTCTCTTTTTCAAGTGGAATTTTTTACTTGAGTGTCTCATGGGTCCATTAGAGCCAAAATTATTATCTTTTTCCCACCACTCACCACAACCCTGATCCTGCCTGTCCTCCAATATTAACCATCTTGATCAAGAACACCAACATCCCATTTCTTGGAGCCAGACTACATCCTCAGCATCAATTCATCCAAAAATTGGTCACACAATTCTGGCTTCCATCGAGACTTAAGGGATATATCAACCAAGGTTTAGCTGTACTGACCCCATTTGGATCTTGCTTCAAACAAACTGCATAAAAACCAATGTAAAAATAAAAAGATGACATGATTGAGAAAATGTTAATACTGAGTGTGCGGCAATGTTAGAGAAATTACTGCTATTATTTTAAGTGTTATAATGATGTGATTGTGTTTTTAAAAGTTTTCAGTTTTCAGAAATGCATACTTAAAAATTTTAGAGGCGGTGTTATTATGTTTAGAATTTACTTCAAAATAATCTAGTAATAGGGAAGGGGAAAGAGAGATTAATAAAATCCCTGGCCATGGGTTAATAATTATTGAAGCTGGGCGATGAGTACATTGGGGTTAATTATATCATGTTATTGTCTGTATTTATGTATGATTGAGATATACATACATATCTACACATGTGTGTTTGTGTGTGTGTGTGTGTGTGTGTGTGTGTGTGTGTTAGGGTGTCTTAACCTTGGCACTATTGACATTTGGGGCTGGATAATTCTGTGTTTTTGTGGGATAAGGGTGCTGGTCCTGTATAGTATATGATGTTAAGCAGCATCCCTGGCCTCTACTCGCTAGATACTAACACCACCTCCTTCAGTTGTGACAACCAAAAATATCTTCAGACATTGCCAAATGTCCTCCAGGGAAGCAAAATCATTCCTGGTTGAGAACCACTGCTCCATCTCATTACCCTGCTTAGCAATTACCACTACTTTGACTTTACGTTGCATATTTATTTCTTTGGTTTGTCTTCTAGACAGATAAGCTGTAAGTTCTGTGATTCCATTAGCTCCATTCCACTAGAATGAAGCCTCATTAAGGCAGACACTATGTCTCTTGTGTTTGCTGCTGTATCCTGAGTACCTGGCACAGAGTAGAAAATCAATCAATATTAGTAGCATCAATAAAAAAAAATCTTTCAAAGGAGGCAGATCTGAAATGTCACTTCTCAGACAGGCATGCTTACTGTCCTTTTGGGTAAGTTACTTGCCAGCCCTAAGCTTCTGTTTCCTCATCTACAAAATAGAGATAATAATAGTGCCTACATCATGGGTTTGTTACAGGGGTTAAACATAGGGTGACAATACTTGCTTGGAACAGTCCCAGTTTTTGCATTGTGTCCCAGCATACTTATTAATAATGCCATCTTATAAGAATTGTCCTGGCTGGGCGCAGTGGCTCATGCTTATAATCTCATTACTTTGGGAGGCCAAGGTAGGCAGATCACTTGAGGTCAGGAGTTCGAGACCAGCCTGGCCAACACGGCAAAGCCTCATCTCTACTAAAAAAAAAATTAGCCGGGCGTGGTGGCACACACCTGTAATCCCAGCTACTTGGGAGGATGAGGCATGAGAATTGCTTGAACCCGAAAGGCTGAGGCTGCAGTGAATCAAGATCAGGCCACTGCACTGCAGCCTGGGTGATGGAATGAGACTGTCTCAAAGAAAAAAAGTGTCGTTATTTGGATGATCAGTCATACGGTGACACGTGGCAACATGTCAGTGTCTGTGCACTGGTTCGGAGGCACCTAGTACATGGCAAGTGGGCCATGGTCATAGTTATTATTTTCCAGTATTCTCCCCAGATGGACACTCAGTGGCCTTCCATGTGGGCAGCATGACATCCAGCTCCATCCTGTGGCTGATAAGCCCTTTGGCTCTTGCTGATCTTTAATCCTTGACTCTCAAAACCCTCCCTCACTGTAGTCCCCCTGCCCATCCTCCAGCAAGTCATGCCCTTCCCTCCCTCCCTTCTTTCTTTCTCTCTTTTTTTTTTTTTTTTGACGGAGTCTCATTCTGTCACCCAGGCTGGAGTGCAATGGCGCAATCTCAGCTCAGTGCAACCTCCGCCTCCTGGGTTCAAGCGATTCTCCTGCCTCAGCCACCTAGCTGGGATTACAGGTGCCTGCCACCATGCCCAGCTGATTTTTGTATTTTTAGTAGAGACGGAGTCTCACCATGTTGGCCAAACTGGTCTTGAACTCCTGACCTCAAATCATCCACCCGCCTCGGCCTCCCAAAATGCTGGGGTTACAGGTGTGAGGCACTGTGCCCAGCCAAGTCATGCCCTTTCTTTCTCAACTCCGGGACTTTCTCCTTTTCTGTGTGGGAAAGCCCTTCCCCCATTATCACCTGTCTTACCTCCACCTTTCCTGCAGGAACTGCCTTAAATGTTACTTCTTCCAAGAAGCCAGCCTTGAGCCCACAGACTAACATCCTTGGTTCTATGTGATGACAGTATCCAGTATCCCAATTCATCATAATTAATGCTTTACTGGACTGGAAGTTGTATGATACTATGGGTCATGATTGCATGATTGCATTTTTCTCAATTCAGTATCCCTGGGATATAAATTACATGATTCAGTCAATAATTGTTTATTTGTTGCATGCATACGCTAATTAAATAAAATCAGATCCTGGCTCTAATCCTACTTCTGTGTCATTTGTGATCCATTTTCCTCATTACAATGGTAACTACCTCATTGTGTTAAGAATAAATATAACACCCGTAATCCCAGCACTTTGGGAGGCCCAGGCCGGCACATCACCTGAGATCGGGAGTTGCAGACCTGACCAACATGGAGAAACCCTGTCTCTACTAAAAATACAAAATTAGCCAGGCATGGTGGGGCATGCCTGTAATCCCAGCCACTCAGGAGGCTGAGGCAAGAGAATCGCTTGAACCCGGGAGGCGGAGGTTGCTGTGAGCTGAGATCATGCCATTGCACTCCAGCCTGGGCAACAAGAGTGAAACTGTCTCAAAAAAGAAAAAAAAAAAAGAATAAATATAACAGTGTATGTAATGTTTTCTGCATATAGTAAGAGCTCAATCTACATACATAGATAGGGACCACCTATTCTAAGCCTAATTCTCATCCCCTCTCAAATAGAATGACTATTTTATTCATTCTGGCTAACTCGAGGATTGGAAGACAATCTTAAATTCTCCCTGATCACACTTGAAGGATGAGATTCTGATAACCAATAAAAGATGATTTTGTCATAATGGGGTTTCATTTTCATATTGCTAGGTTAGAAAGAAATTTCAACAAAAAAAAACTATGCTGTGTCCTAAATGGTTAATGATCCTCAGTAAGCAATCTGTCCAGAATGAGAACGATTTCTTTTGCAGTCTGACAGCTGATCTATAATCAGGTTCTGCTTGGCTGCTATCCTGAGCCCCTCCCTACGGTTCTCCATGGGGCTCAGTGAACACTGTGAAAGAAAAAAATCCCAAACCTTTTATTACATGCATTTCTGATTTCCCAGAAGTTTCTCAACAGAGGGGGACTTGCAGATGCCTGCCAGATGTTGCTTTATCTTGTGGGAGAGGAATTCCTTCTTCAAGTGTTTTGAGGTTTATGCTTGGTGAAATTATAGAGCGAGTACTTTCTTGCCGTTCCTTTTTTTTTTCTTTTATTCCTTCAGTAAACATTAGCAACCACTATCTCAGGGACTGTGATTACAAAGATAAGTAGCATAGTTTCTGCCACCTTAAGCTCTCAATTAAAAAAAACATGTAGAGCAATTAAGCAGACTATTGCAATAAACGGTATCTACTGCTCTGACACGAAGTGCACAAGGTGATGTAGGAACCCAGAGGATGGGTACCTAATGCATTCTGTGCTGGAATCAGGGAACGCTTCCTGAAAGAGGTGTCAGGAAGGATAACCACATATTAGACAGGGGGTAAAAGGTCTTTTAGGCAGAGGGAACAGCATGTGAGATGACACAGGGATGAAGTAGCCTAGTGTGCAGAGGAAATGGCAAATTATTCATGAAAGAAGTTTAATGTCCTGTGTTTGTTCGTTTGTGTTGCTACAAAGGAATACCTGAGGCTGAGTAATTTTATAAAGGGTTTATTTGACTGATTGTTCTGCAGGGTGTACAAGAAGCATAGCATCAGCATCTGCTTCTAATGAAGAAGCAGGAAGTTTTTACTCATGGCAGAAGGTGAAAGAAAGCAGGTGTCAGATGGGGAGAGAGGAAGAAAGAGGGAGAGGGGTAAGGGAGGTGCCAGGTTCTTTTGACTAATCAGTTCTCATGGGAACTAATAGTGAGAACTCACTCATTCTTGTGAGGATATCACAAAGCTATTCATGAGGGATCTGCTCCCATGACCTGAACACCTCCCTTTAGGCCCTACCTCCAACATGGGATATCAAATTTTTACATGATATTTGGAGGGGTCATATATCCGAGCTACATCTTTTTACCCCTGGCACCCCAAATCTCATGTCTTTCTCACATTCAAAATACAATCATTCCATCTCAACCATCCCCCCAGAGTCTTATTCCAGCACCAACTGAAAAATCCAAAGGCCAAAGTCTTATCTGAAGCTCTAAGATAAAACTCTTAGATACTTCTAAGATGCAATGGTGGTACAGGCATTGGGTAAACACTTCCATTCCAAAAGGGAGAAATGGGCCAAAAGTAACAGACCTCAAACATGTCAGAAACCCAGCAGGGCAGATATTAAAACTTAACTCTCCAAAATAGTCTTTGACTCCATGTTTCATGTCCCATCTAGGGCATACTGGTACAAGTGTTGGGCCACCGAAGCCTCAAGCAGCTCTGTCCTGGTGGCTTTGCAGGGTCCAGATCACATGGCTGCGCTCTCGGGTTGGGGTTCAATGTCTGTGGGTTTCCAGACTAAGGGTGCATGCTGCCAGTGGCTCTCCCATTCTAGGAGGCTCAAGGGAAGTGGTCTTATTTTCACATCGCCACTAGGCAGTGTGGATACTGCCTCAGAGTGGGTACTCTCTGAGGGGACTCCAACCCCACATTTCCCATTGGCATTGCCTTAGTATGGTCTCTCTGTAGGGGCTCTAATCCCATACTTCCCCTTGGCACTGCCTTAATAGAGTCTCTTTGTATGGGCTCTGCCCCTGTGGCAGGCTTCTGCCTGGGGACCCAGGCTTTCTGATACATTCTCTGAAATCTAGGTAGGTGGAAGCTGCCAAGCCTCCATGGTTTTTGCATGCTGTGCACCTGCAGACTTAACATCACATGGAAGCTGTCAAGGTAGTACCTGTGGCCACGCGAGCCATAGCTAGAGGTGGAGTCGCTGGGATGCAGGGAGAAGTGTTCCAAGACAGCACAGGGCCTGGCCCCTGAAACCATTCTTTCTTACTAGGCCTCTGTGCCTGTGATGAAAGGGGCTGCCTGGAAGATTTCTGAAATACCTTTGGGGACATGCCCCCATTGTCTTGACTATTAGCACCTGTCTTCCCTTTAGTCATACTATCTTTCCAACAAGCTATTACTCTCAGGCCATACATTTTGCATATAAAATGAGACTTTGTTAATATTTTTATATCAAAGTGCCTAATACATATCATGCAAAATATCATAAAACATGAGGATACTATACTGCCAATTCTACTTCAATTTTAACCTGTCTAGTGAGGCTAGACTGTGAACTGCTCCAGGAAAATCTTACCCGCTTATTTTTGTTCATTCGTATCCCCCATGCCAGCATAGTGCCTAGCATACAGGTCAGTAAATAACTGTTAAATGAACACAAGATAATTCAGTGCAATACAGTTCTGATTTCTTTGTCTTTTGCAGGGGGCTACCTTTAAGATTATACTTATAAATAGTTTTGTTTATCCTGGATTTATCACTCCTTTCTTTTCCTCCCTTATTAAGGGTAAGAGAAGGAAGAGATCTTAGTAACTGATAAGGAAAAGGGGGCAGAAGCAGGGGAAAAGCAAAGATGAGCAATAGAACAAGAGTTCCATATTAAAGAATGGGCATTTTTATATTCAGAATATGGAAATGGCTTACATATCAGTTGAAGTATTTGTTTGACAGCGATGGAAACCAATTCTGGGTAACATAACAAAACAGGGATTCAATGTAAGGTTCATGGGGCCTCCCTGGATTAGAAGGAGGCAGAGAGGCTAGTTTTGGGGACAGGAACCAAAGAAGCTACCATGGAGCAGGAAGCAGGGCAGCCTAGTCAGGGTGCTCCTCATAGCCAGGCCATACTTTTGAATTCCTATATGGAAAATGCTGTTTTCTTTACCACATGACCAGGCTGAAAATTTTCCAAATGTTTATGCTCTGCTTCCTTTTTAATTGTACGTTCAAACTTTAGATCATCCCTTTGCTCTCACGTCTGATTACAGACTATTAGAAGCAGCTAGGTCACTTCTTTAATGCTTTGCTGGTTAGAAATGTCTTCCACCAGATGCCCCAGATCATCACTCTTAAGTTTAGCTTTCCACAAAGTCCTAGGACATGGACACAATGCAGCCAAGTTCTTTGCTATGGTGTAACAAGGGAGACCTTTGTTTCAGTTCCCAATGAGTTCCCCATTTTCATCTAAGGCCTCATCAGCATGGCTTTTACTGTCCATATTTCTATTGGATTTTGGTCACGAGCACTTAATCATTCTCTAACAAGTTTCAAACATTCCTTCGTCTTCCTGTCTTCTTCTGAGCCCTCCAAATTCTTCCAATTGCTGCTCATTACCCAGTTCCAAAGCCACTTCCACATCTTCAGGTATCTTTATAACAAAACTGCACTCCTTCATACCAATTTTCTGTTTTAGGCCATTTGTACGACTAGAAAGGCATACATGAGGTTGAGTAATTTGTAAATAAAAGAGGTTTATTTGGCTCACAGGTTCTTCAGGTTGTATGAGAAGCATGGCATCAGCAGACATGTGTGAAGCATGGCATCATACTTCTGATGAGGGCTTCAGAAAGCTTCTACTCATTGAAGGTGAAAGGAAGCAGGCATCACATGGCGGGAGGAGAAGGAAGAGAGAGAAGGGTGAGGGAGGGGCCAGGCTCTTTTTAGCAATCATTTCTTGCAGGAACTAATACAGTGAGAATTCACCCATTACTATGATGATGGCACCAAGCCATTCATGAGGAATCTGCTCTCATGACCCAAACACCTCCCACTAAGTCCTCACTCCAACATTGGGAATTAAATTTCAACATGAGATTCGGAGGATACACATACTCAAACTGTAACATGTGTCAATCAGAGGGTAGTAGAACATGAGGACAAAGAGGAAAATAGGATCCAGATCATCAAAGACTTAGATGTCATATTCAAGAGATTAAGCTTTAAGCAAGGATGAATTCCAGTCCAAAAGACCAGACACAGGATCAAACCTACCAGTTAGATGTAGTATTCAGTGCAGCCAGCAGACTGTGAGTTAACTGACTCAATCCTATGCAGCATCTGCATCTCTGTGGTTATCATGCAGCCATATGTGGCTATGTGACAAAGTTCTAGCCACACCCAAGTCACAGGAATAGCCTCCAGACAACCATTTAAAAGGGAGAGACTTGATCAAAATATAGACTTCAGATCCTTTGTCTTTCTCTCTTCTTCCTCTGTGGATGTTGGACATGAATTCCTAAGGTACAGATGCCTTCTTGAAGCCATGAGACAACTCGAAGATGCTGAGAGCCACGAGAACGCAGAAACACAATCCAGACATCCTTGTATTTTTTACTCTACACCAGCAACCACCTACTGCAGATTTCTTGCTTTGCAAGGAAAATTAACTTTTCAGTGTGTAAGCAGTGTTTTAACTCAGGATTTCTACTTTGTACAGATTTCCTTGACACCTATCAACTTTCTCACTCTCAGACCCTGACATGATTCCCTGCTCTTTTCAGAGAGTCCTCTCCTTGGTGTCCTTTTGAGTAATCATTGGTCTGTGTTTGATCACCTTTAGGAGTAGACAAAAATCTCTTTTCCTTCCCCCTAGCCTCCTTCCTTTTTTCCCTTTCTTTCATTTGTGTTTTATTTTTGCAAATTTCAGACTATTTTAACTTCATTTTTTTTCAAAACCTTGAAAATTCTCTCTCCCAACTCTGTCTTTTTTCCATTCACTACTCACTTCCTATTCCTCACTCCACCTTCACAGGATTTTATTATTTGTTCTTTCTGAGAATTTGTATTCATTTACAAGCTAACAAAGACTTAGATTATTCTTTCCCTCTTTTTATGCAATTCTTCTTTCATGTTTATTTTCATATAAAGCAACTCAGAAGCATTATAAGTTTCTTCTTTTAAAAATAGATTATACTGAATATGCACACAGAAATGTACACATAGCATAAATTCAGTGAATTTTCACAATGTGAATACATCTTTGTGATTCCACCAAAATTAAAAAATAGAACCCTACCAACACCCAAGAAGCCTGCCTGTGCCACAACCTCTCACTAGTTGCCCCCAAACAAGGAAACCACAGTCTGATTCAGGGGACCTCAGATTCGTTTTGCTTTTTTTTGTTGTTGTTGTTGGCTTTAGGTAAATGGTACTATTCAAAATATACTCTGTAGTGTCTGGCTTTTGTTTTTCTCAACGTTATGTTTGTGAGATTCATGTATATTGCTGCATGCAACAATAGTCTGTTCCTTTTCATGAGTTTATAATATACCACAGTATAGATACATTACAATTTATCCAATTTACTTTTGATACATATTTAGTTTTTTTCCAGCGTTTGTTCTTGATTTTATAAATGTATTTCTATTGAATGGAATAGCTTGGTCATAGGGAATACCTGTATTCAATTATAGCAGAGTTTAAGCTCCTTGTCAACTTTTGGCATTTTCAGACTTTTCATTTTAGTCAATCTGTTGGGTATGTGGTGGTATCTTACTGTGGTTTTAATGCATATTGCCTTAACTACTAACATGATTGTGTATCTTTTATTCATAGTTTAATGGCCATTTTTATAACCTCTTTTGTGAAGTGCCTTTTAAAATATCTTTCCCATTTTTAAATTGTGGTATTTATCTTTTTCATAGTACTTTGTAGGAGTTTTCCCTATATTTGGGATATAAGTCCTTTATTGGGATCTATCTACCCATCTATCTATTCTCACTCTGTGCCTTGACTTTTTATTTTTTAAATATTGTCTTTGAATTGACATGTTTTAATTTTAACTTAGTCAAATTTGCCAACTTTATCCTGTATAATTTCTTTGTATCGAAGGAGCTTAACAAAATCATCTTTGCCAATGTCATTAAGATATTTTCTACGTTTTTCTCTAGAAATTTTATGGTTTTATCTTTCATATTTAGATTTACTATCTATTTATAATGAATTTTTAAAAATAATTTGTATTCGGCCGGGCGCGGTGGCTCATGCCTGTAATCCCAGCACTTTGGGAGGCCGAGGCGGGCGGATCACGAGGTCAGGAGATCGAGACCATCCCGGCTAAAATGGTGAAACCCCGTCTCTACTAAAAATACAAAAAAAAAATTAGCCGGGCGTAGTGGCGGGCGCCTGTAGTCCCAGCTACTTGGGAGGCTGAGGCAGGAGAATGGCATGAACCCGGGAGGCGGAGCTTGCAGTGAGCCAAGATCCCGCCACTGCACTCCAGCCTGGGCGACAGAGCGAGACTCCGTCTCAAAAAAAAAAAAAAAAAAAAAAATTGTATTCAATAAGCTATAATTCATTGTGATTATTATTTTTAAGTTCTTTTATTTAAACAGTTTCAGTGCCATATAATTGACATACAGTAAAATGAATGTATTTAAAGTACACATTTTGATAAGTTTTAACCTATGTGTACAACCATGAAATCATCATAACAATCAAGAAAATAAACACAGATTATCTCCAAAAGTTCATTAATGCCCCATTGGTAACTCCCCAACTCCTACATTTCCATCTCCAGGCAGCCACTGGTCCACTTTCTCTCACTATACACTAATTTGCATTCTAGAGTTTTATATAAATGAAATCATACACGTACCATCATTTTCTTCAACCTTTTTTTCACTCTGTGTAATTATTTTGAAATTTATCCATGTTGTTGCATGTATCAATAGTTTAATCCTTATGTTGAGCCACATTAATTTGTATGGGTAAACAGTTTGATGTCCCCCTATTGATGGATATTTAGGTTGTTATTAATTTGAGAGGGATACAAATAAAGCTGCTACTAATAGTGTACAAATCTTTGTATGGTCATATACTTTTATTTCTATTGGGTAAACGCCTAGGGATATGTATTAGTCCATTATCACACTGCTAATAAGGACATACCTGAGACTGGGTAATTTATAAAGGAAAGAGATTTAATTAACTCACAGTTCAGCACGGCTGGTGAGGCCTCAGGAAACTTAAAGTCATGGCAGAAGAGGAAGCAAACACATCTTTCTTCACATGGTGGCAACAAGAAGTGCCGAGGGAAGGTGGGGAAAGCCCCTTATAAAACCATCAGATCTCATGAGAACTCACTCACTATCATGAGAACAGCAAGAGCGTAACTGCCTCCATGATTAAATTACCTCCCATGGGGTCCCTCTCATGACCTGTGGGAATTATGGGAACTAAAATTCAAGTTGAGATTTGAGAGGGGACACAGACAAATCATATCAGAATTGAATGCATTGTTCATATGGATAGTGTATGTATAGATTTTTGAGAGACTGCTAAACTGTTTTCCAAAATTATTACACCATTTTACATTGCCACCAGCAGTGTAAGAGGTTTCAAGATGCTCTATATCATTACCAACACTTGGTATGGTAGGTCTTCTTAATTTTTAATATTCTAATACATATGTAGTGGTATCTCATTGCTCATATCTTAACTTGCACTTCATAACCACTGTACATACCATTTTATGTATTTACACACCATTTTATATGTAATGCTCATTTGCATTATGTTCTTCTTTGATAAAATGCCTGGTAAATATTTTCCTTGTTAATTTACTGAGTTTTTTTAAAATTGCTAACAAGTATTGAGAGTTCTTTATATGTTCTAAATACAAGTCTTTTTATCAGATATGTAGTTTGCTAATATTTACTTCCAGTAAGTTACTTGTCTTTGTCTTGTCTTAAAATGTGTCTTTTACAGAGAAGAACTTAATTTTAATTAGGTCCAACTTACCAATATTTTATTTCTTGAATCATTATTTAGGTTTCTATCTAAGAAATATTTGCCTCACTCGATATCACAAATAATTTTTTCGTATTTTCTTCTATAACTGTTACAGTATTAGGTTTTGTATTTATGTCTATTCTTCTTCTAGAGAAAATTTTGTGGATTATTCAAAGTATGATTAGAAATTTTTTAGATCTATAGATATTCAATTGCTCTAGTACCATTTGTTGAAAAATATACACTTTGTATACTTAATTGCTTTCTGTACCTTTGTTGAAAATCAGTTGATCATATAAGTGTGGGCCTATATCTGGAAAATTTATTTCAATCCATTAATCTATTTGTTCATCTTAGGCCATCACCATACCATCCTGATTTCTGTAGACTTACAGTAAGTCATGAAATCAGATAGTTTAAATCCTTCACACATTTTTTTTCAAACTGAATTTGACTACTTCTTTGCATTTCTATATGAAGGTTAGAATCAACCAGTGAATTTATACCAAAAGAATAACAATTTTTATTGGGATTTGTTGCATTTCTAGATCAATTTGGGGGCAATCTGATAAGTTTTGAGTTATTGGGTTTTCCAACCTATGACTATAACACATCTCTATAAATATTTAGCTCCTCTATTTTGTCTTCACAAGGTGTCAGTTTTCCATGTACATATTTTGAACACCTTTTGCTAGATTTATTTCTAAGTATTTTATATTTTTATGCCCTTGAAAATTGGTTTATTGCTATAAATTTACATGTTGATCATTACTAGTATATAGAAATATAACTGATTTTGTATATTGATGTTGTATCCCGAAACATTATTAAAATTACGTATTTGTCCTGGTAGTTTTTTGTACAGTTCATGTGATTTTTAAAAATGTACATAATTATGCCATCTGTGGATTCAGACTGTTTTACTTTTTTCTCTCTGAGCAGGATTCCTTTTAATTCCTTTTTCCTCTTCTCACCTTATTACACTGACTAGAATTTCCAATGCAATGATGAGTAGAAGTGTTGAGAATGGACAGCTTTATCTTATTGTTTTATTTTGGAGGAAAGTTAATCTTTCACCATTACTTGTAGATTTTTTGTAGATACCCATTATCAGACTAAAGAGGTTCATTCTTATTGCTAGTTGAGTGAGATTTTTAATGAGGAATGGATATGGGATTTCGCAATGTTTTTTTCTTATTCTTTTGGGATTATCATATGATTTTTCATTTTCAGTCTGTTAATAGAGTGAATCAAATTAGTTTTCAAATGTTTAAGATCAGCTGATTAGCAACTGTAATTCCACCGGTAAATTTAATTCACCTGTGCCATGTGCATTAATTTCCTATTACTGGTGTGCAAATTACTGCAAATTTGTTGGCTTAAAGCAACACAGTTTATTCTCTTACACTTATGGAGGTCAGAAAGCCAAAAAGAATCTTAAAGGGCTAAAATCAAGATGTCCTCAGGGCTGGTTCCTGCTGGGGGCACCAGAGGAGGAAAATCTGTTCTTTGCCTCCTTCAGCTTCTGAAGTTTCCAGCATTCCTTGGCTCCTGGACACATCACTCTAATCTCTGCTTCCTTAGTCAGATCACCTCCTTTACTTCTGACTCCTGCATTCCTGTGATAAGAACCACTGAAAATACACCCAGCTCACCTGGATAATCTCCTCACCTCAAGATCCTTAACTTAATCACATCTGCAAATACCCTCTTGATAAGGAAACATTTCACAGGTTCTAAGGATTATACTGTGGGCATATTTTGCAGACCATTATTCAGCCTGTCATACTATGTAGGCTAATATAGTAACAGGTTTTTGGGATATGGACATAAACATATTTGGTAGCCCATTATTCTCCCTACCACACCCACTTTTGCCTATGACTGTTTCTTCTGGAAACGTTAATGGACAAATTGAAATTTTTCCATCCATTCTTCACACTTCTTAGCTCTTCTCTTATACTTTTCATCTATTTGTCTTATTACATTACATTCCTAGGCTAATTACTTTGTTCAGTCTTTCAGTTCATTAATTGACTCTTCAGCTATTTTCATTCTATTTATCTATTCATTTATTTTTCCTAATTATCCTATAAGTTCCAGAAATATGATTCTGATTCATAGCAGCCAGTTTTTAAATCTGCCTGAAGATATTTATTCTGAAGTATTTTTTTCTGTGTCATAAGTTAACTTTATTTTGGAGAGGGCACTAACTTTTCTGAATATTTAGTCTGATGTGTCTTTCAAGGTGCCTCGCTTTCCAAATATTTGATGATTATTGGCTGCTCCTATTTGTAATTAAAATCTAGACTGAACAATATCGGAAGCTGGAACGCACTTTATTAGTCGGAATGCATATCTCTGTTTACTTGTCATGAATCCAAATCCAGTGTACCTAGATATTACAAGAGCATGTTACTAATAATTATAAATGAGAGGAAGGATGCATATCCAAAGATTTTATGTTTATCTTGAGGGTTCTATCTTGTTTCTCTGGACGTGAGACATATTTCTTAAATCTCCCAAGTTAAGTACACTTATAACTACTTTGTTGGAGATTGACTGCAACTGTTTAAAAAATAAAACCTTCTATATGTACAGAAGTAATCTTTATATTCTTACAAATTTACTAGCTCTGCAATGTTTCCTCAGTGTCAACACTCATGCTAAAAGCCCTTCCAAGAAAAGTTACTCACTTTGTTTATATATTAGTTCTTAGGGCTTTTTCTCAAGGGCAAATGCAGTTGTCACCAGATGTTAAATATGGAGAAGGGAGAGAAGTTCAGTGCAGCAGCTGCTTCAAATTTAGTCCTTTAATTAATTTCTCTGATTATTTCCCCATATTGCTTTCCAGCTCTTTGTATTTGGTGACTCTTAGCTTGGTTATTTCTCTGGAGATTTTGTGAGAATGCTAACTTTAACTTCAGTAGTTGCTTCTCCCCAAAGTGAATTTTCTGTGCTCTCATTTTCCCTTTACAGCAATTCACTCTGCTTTATTTTTCTTTCTCTATTTTTTTTTTGTTTTCCTATGATTTATATCCATAAGCTCAATTGCTGGGTCATCCAGTATGTTCATCTTCAACTATAGTAGATATTACTACATTGTCATAAAGAAATTGAAACAATTGCAGTCCTAACACAGTTAACATTGTTCTACATTCTCACAATATTTAGTGTAGTCATACTTTCTAAATTTTGCTTAACTGGCAAGTATGAAATGGTATCTCATTGCAGTTTTAATTTCCATTCTCCTGAACATTGGTAAGATACAGTATTTTTTCATGTTTTTATTGAATATTTTATCTCTTCTGTGAATTAATATTTTATTGGTTAACTTTTCTTTCTTCTTTTTTTTTTTTTTTTTTTTTTTTTTTAGATGGAGTTTCACTCTTGTCACCCAGGCTGGAGTGCAGTGGCACTGCAACCTTCGCCTCCAAGGTTCAAGAAATTATCCTGCCTCAGCCTCCCAAGTAGCTGGGATTACAGGCATGTGCCATCACACCCAGCTAATTTTTGTATTTTCAGTAGAGACGGGGTTTCTCCGTGTTGGCCAGGCTGGTCTTGAACTCCTGACCTCAGGTGATCCACCTGCCCAAGGTGGTGTGATTACAGGGGTGAGCCACTGCGCAGGCCAACTTTTCTTTTTTTTAATGAACGAAGAGTTTCTCTCTCTGTGTGTGCATGTGTGCGTGTGTGTGTGCATGCATGCGTGCGTGCATGTGTGTGTGTGTTTGGTAGTTTTGACTCATTTCAGCTTCGTTGTTGTTTTCTATAATGTATATCTTAAGTTCAGGGGTACAGAACTCTTCATCCCAAAACAACAGAATATGCATTTTTCTCACTGTGATATGGCACTTACTCAAAAATTGATCACATAATCAGAAGTAAAATCATAACAAACACTCTCTGGGACCACAGCTCAATCAAATTAGAAATGAAGATTAACAAAGTCACTCAAAACCACACAATTACATGGAAATTGAATAACCTGCTCCTGAATGATTTGGGGGTAAATAATTAAATTGAAGCAGAAATCAAGAAGTTCTTTGATATTAGTCCTTTGTCAGATATATAGAGTGTGAAGATTTTCTCCCACTTTGTGAGTTATCTGTTTACTCTGCTGACTGTTCCTTTTGCTGTGCAGAAGCTCTTTAGTTTAAGTCCCACCTATTTGTCTTTGTTTTTACTGCATTTGATTTTGGGTTCTTGGTCATGAAATCTTTGCCTAAGCCAATGTCTAGAAGGTTTTTCCCATGTTATCTTCTAGAATTTGTAGAGTTTAAGGTCTTAGATTTAAGTCCTTGATACATCTTGAGTCTATTTTTGTATGAAGTGAGAGATGAGGATCCAGTTTCATTCTCCTGCAGGTGTCTTGTCCACTATCCCAGCAGTATTTGTTGAATAGAGTATCCTTTCCCCACTTTATGTTTCTGTTTGCTTTGTCAAAGATCAGTTGGCTGTAAGTATTTGTTTTATTTCTGGGTTCTCTATTCTGTTCCATTGGTCTGTGTGCCTATTTTTATACCGGTACTCTGCTGTTTTGCTGACTATGGCCTTATAGCATAGTTTGAAGTTGGGTAATGTGATGCCTCTAGAATTGTTCTTTTTGCTCAATCTTGCTTTGGCTAGGTGGGCTCTTTCTTGGTTCCACGTAGAATTTTAGTATTTTTTTCTGGTTCCGTGAAGAATGATAGTGGTATTTTGATGGGAATTTCATTGAATTTGTAGATTGCTTTTAGCAGTATGGTCATTTTCGCAATACTGATTCTTCACATCCCTGAGCATGGGATGTGTTTCCATTTGTGTCATCTATAATTTCTTTCAGCAGCATTTTGTAGTTTTCCTTGTAGAAGTCTTTCACCTCCTTGGTTAGGTATATTCCTAAGTATTTTAATTTTTTGCAGCTATTGTAAAAGGGGCTGAGTTCTTGATTTGATTCTCAGCTTGGTCACTATTGGTGTATAGCAGAGGTACTGATTTGTGTACACTAATTTTGTATCCTGAAACTTTGCTGAATTTATTTATCAGTTCTAGGAGCTTTTTGGAGGAGTCTTTAGGGTTTTTTAGGTATACAATCATATTATCAGCAAACAGTGACAGATTGACTTCCTCTTTAGCAATTTGGATGCCTTTTATTTCTTTCTCTTGTCTGACTGTTCTAGCTAGGACTTCCGGTAATATGTTGACTCTACAATGAACTCAAACAAATTAGCAAGAAGAAAACAAAAAGCCCCATCAAAAAGTGGGCTAAGGACGTGAATAGACAATTCTCCAAAAGAAGATATACAAATGGCCAAAAAGCATGGAAAAATATTCAACATCACTAATGATCAGGGAAGTGCAAATCAAAACCACAATGTGATACCACCTCACTCCCACAAGAATGGCCATAATCAAAAAATAATAGATGTTGTCATGGATGTGATGAAAAGGTAACACTTCTGTACTGCTGTTAGGAATGTAAACTAGTACAACCACTATGGAAAACAGTGTGGGGATTCCTTAAAGAACTAAAAGTAGAACTACCATTTGATCCAGCAATCCCGCTACTGGATATATACCCAGAGGAAAATAAGCCATTATAAGAAAAAGATACTTGCACACACATATTTATAGCAGCACAATTCACAATTGCAAAAATGTGGAACCAGTCCAAATGTCCATCAATCAACGAGCAGATAAAGAAATTGTGAGATATATATATAACAGTTTATTGACATGTATATATATCAGTTTATTCATATATATATGAATATATATATGAAAAAAAAATATATATATATGATGGAATACTGCTCAGCCGTAAAAAAGAAATGAATTAATGGCAGTCACAGCAACCTGGGTGAGATTGGAGACTATTATTCTAAGTGGAGTAACTCAGGAATGGAAGACCAAGCATGGTATGTTCTCACTTATAAGTGGGAGCTAAGCTATGAGGATGCAAAGGCATAAGAATGATACAGTAGACTTTGGGGACTTGCAGGGAAAAGCTGGGAAGGGGATGAGGGATAAAAGACAACAAATTGGGTTCAGTGTATGCTGCTTGGGGGAGGGGTACACCAAAATCTCACAGATCATCACTAAAGAACTTACTCATGTAACCAAATACCACCTGTTCCCCCAAACCTATGGAAATAAAAAAATAAGAAAAAAATAAAATTTATAAGTTAAACATTTGAAATATTTTTAAGTTCTTTGAAACTAATGAGAACAAAGATACAACATACCGGTATCTCTGGAACACAGCTAAGGAAGTGTTAAGAGGGAAACTTTTAGCACTAAAATGCCCGCATCAAAAAGTTAGAAAGATCTCAAGTTAACCATCTAACATTACAGCTACAAGAACTAAGGAACTAAGAGAAAACAAAGCTAGCAGAAGACAAGAAAGAACAAGAGTGTAACAAGGAGTTTCTAATATATTCTGGTTAGTAATTCTTCTTGATCATATGGAATTGCAGGTGTCATTTGTCAAGTTGTGGCCATTTTACTTTATTAGTTTTTGATTTATAAAAATTACTGGTTTTAATGTATAATGTATCTTTTCTTTCTGCTCTGTGTTTTGGTATTTTATTACGATACAATTCTGTTACCATGAGTTCATAAATAGCCTCTCCTATTTTTTAACAAAATTAAAATATTGCTTTTTTATATTTAGGTCGTTATTTTACCTGGAGATACACACACACACACATGCACACACACACATATATGTGTTTATACATATACACACATATATATGTATATGCATGTGTCCTTGTGTGTATGTGTGAAAGAGAGTTACGAATTCATTTTTCTCCTATATATATTCAAATATCCCCTCATATTTCATTCAGCAGATTATCATAATTCCTCATTAGTCTTCAATGCCTTTTATTTCATTTTTAAAGTTTTTATTTATGTGTTTTTCTTGGATCTTTATTTTATTCCATTGTTTTATTTGTCTGTTTCTTTTTCAATACCATACTTTGTTAAGTACAATGTATTTATAGAAATTATCTGATAGGGCACAAATACTCACTATGTTGTTGTTGATTTTTTTCCACAGAGGAATTGGCTACTTTTGGCCCTTAATTTTCCAAATAAACTTTAGAATCAGCTTCTTAAGGTTCAGAAGTAGCAATGTTAGGATTTTTAAATAGAATTATTCTGACCATTTAGATATATCTAATTATATGTGGCAGTTTTGCCATCATCGTTCCATCAGTGTATACAGGCCATCTATCTTTTATTGTATGGTATACATAATAAAGTCTTAGAATGTTCACCATAAAGGTCTTGCATATCTTTCTTTAGATTTTCCCCCCATGTACCTAATTATTTTTCTGCCTTATAAATGACCATTATTCAATTAGTGATTCATTGCTGGTATATAGAAATGCAAATACATTTGTTTAATAATCTGATTTCCAGACTCATTGGCAAGTGTTCTTATTAATTTTAATAATTTGTTTATAAATTCTGTTGCAGTTTCTAAATAGGCGATTATAGCAGATGGAAATGAGGAAAGTTTTCAACACATACATCTTTGCTTTCTTTTCTAGTTCTGCTAATAAGACTGTATTCTGCACAACTCTAGGGAATACCATTTATATAGAGTGCATGATGCAAAATGCAGCCATACTGTGCACCTGCAAGGACCTACAGAAGAAGCAGTGCTAGCAGATAGTCTTGTCATATTTTGACTTGTTTAGAAAGGGATTCTTTTTTTTTTTTTAGGTTTAATCAGCACATTTATTTTTTTTATTTTTTTTATTTTGTTTATTTTTTTAATGTTTTTTTTTTTATTATACTCTAAGTTTTAGGGTACATGTGCACATTGTGCAGGTTAGTTACATATGTATACATGTGCCATGCTGGTGCGCTGCACCCACTAACGTGTCATCTAGCATTAGGTATGTCTCCCGATGCTATCCCTCCCCCCTCCCCCGACCCCACCACAGTCCCCAGAGTGTGATATTCCCCTTCCTGTGTCCATGTCATCTCATTGTTCAATTCCTACCTATGAGTGAGAATATGCGGTGTTTGGTTTTTTGTTCTTGCGATAGTTTACTGAGAATGATGGTTTCCAATTTCATCCATGTCCCTACAAAGGACATGAACTCATCATTTTTTATGGCTGCATAGTATTCCATGGTGTATATGTGCCACATTTTCTTAATCCAGTCTATCATTGTTGGACATTTGGGTTGGTTCCAAGTCTTTGCTATTGTGAATAGTGCCGCAATAAACATACGTGTGCATGTGTCTTTATAGCAGCATGATTTATAGTCCTTTGGGTATATACCCAGTAATGGGATGGCTGGGTCAAATGGTATTACTAGTTCTAGATCCGTGAGGAATCGCCACACTGACTTCCACAATGGTTGAACTAGTTTACAGTCCCACCAACAGTGTAAAAGTGTTCCTATTTCTCCACATCCTCTCCAGCACCTGTTGTTTCCTGACTTTTTAATGATTGCCATTCTAACTGGTGTGAGATGATATCTCATAGTGATTTTGATTTGCATTTCTCTGATGGCCAGTGATGATGAGCATTTCTTCATGTGTTTTTTGGCTGCATAAATGTCTTCTTTTGAGAAGTGTCTGTTCATGTCCTTGGCCCACTTTTTGATGGGGTTGTTTGTTTTTTTCTTGTAAATTTGTTTGAGTTCATTGTAGATTCTGGATATTAGCCCTTTGTCAGATGAGTAGGTTGCGAAAATTTTCTCCCATGTTGTAGGTTGCCTGTTCACTCTGATGGTAGTTTCTTTTGCTGTGCAGAAGCTCTTTAGTTTAATTAGATCCCATTTGTCAATTTTGGCTTTTGTTGCCATTGCTTTTGGTGTTTTGGACATGAAGTCCTTGCCCACGCCTATGTCCTGAATGGTAATGCCTAGGTTTTCTTCTAGGGTTTTTATGGTTTTAGGTCTAACGTTTAAATCTTTAATCCATCTTGAATTGATTTTTGTATAAGGTGTAAGGAAGGGATCCAGTTTCAGCTTTCTACATATGGCTAGCCAGTTTTCCCAGCACCATTTGTTAAATAGGGAATCCTTTCCCCATTGCTTGTTTTTCTCAGGTTTGTCAAAGATCAGATAGTTGTAGATATGCGGCATTATTTCTGAGGCCTCTGTTCTGTTCCATTGATCTATATCTCTGTTTTGGTACCAGTACCATGCTGTTTTGGTTACTGTAGCCTTGTAGTATAGTTTGAAGTCAGGTAGTGTGATGCCTCCAGCTTTGTTCTTTTGGCTTAGGATTGACTTGGCGATGCGGGCTCTTTTTTGGTTCCATATGAACTTTAAAGTAGTTTTTTCCAATTCTGTGAAGAAAGTCATTGGTAGCTTCATGGGGATGGCATTGAATCTGTAAATTACCTTGGGCAGTATGGCCATTTTCACGATATTGATTCTTCCTACCCATGAGCATGGAATGTTCTTCCATTTGTTTGTGTCCTCTTATTTCCTTGAGCAGTGGTTTGTAGTTCTCCTTGAAGAGGTCCTTCACATCCCTTGTAAGTTGGATTCCTAGGTATTTTATTCTCTTTGAAGCAATTGTGAATGGGAGTTCACTCATGATTTGGCTCTCTGTTTGTCTGTTGTTGGTGTATAAGAATGCTTGTGATTTTTGTACATTGATTTTGTATCCTGAGACTTTGCTGAAGTTGCTTATCAGCTTAAGGAGATTTTGGGCTGAGATGATGGGGTTTTCTAGATAAACAATCATGTCATCTGCAAACAGGGACAATTTGACTTCCTCTTTTCCTAATTGAATACCCTTTATTTCCTTCTCCTGCCTGATTGCCCTGGCCAGAACTTCCAACACTATGTTGAATAGGAGCGGTGAGAGAGGGCATCCCTGTCTTGTGCCAGTTTTCAAAGGGAATGCTTCCAGTTTTTGCCCATTCAGTATGATATTGGCTGTGGGTTTGTCATAGATAGCTCTTATTATTTTGAAATACGTCCCATCAATACCTAATTTATTGAGAGTTTTTAGCATGAAGGGTTGTTGAATTTTGTCAAAGGCTTTTTCTGCATCTATTGAGATAATCATGTGGTTTTTGTCTTTGGCTCTGTTTATATGCTGGATTACATTTGTTGATTTGCGTATATTGAACCAGCCTTGCATCCCAGGGATGAAGCCCACTTGATCATGGTGGATAAGCTTTTTGATGTGCTGCTGGATTTGGTTTGCCAGTATTTAATTGAGGATTTTTGCATCGATGTTCATCAGAGATATTGGTCTAAAATTCTCTTTTTTGGTTGTGTCTCTGCCCGGCTTTGGTATCAGAATGATGCTGGCCTCATAAAATGAGTTAGGGAGGATTCCCTCTTTTTCTATTGATTGGAATAGTTTCAGAAGGAATGGTACCAGCTCCTCCTTGTACCTCTGGTAGAATTCGGCTGTGAATCCATCTGGTCCTGGACTCTTTTTGGTTGGTAAACTATTGATTATTGCCACAATTTCAGCTCCTGTTATTGGTCTATTCAGAGATTCAACTTCTTCCTGGTTTAGTCTTGGGAGAGTGTATATGTCGAGGAATGTATCCATTTCTTCTAGATTTTCTAGTTTATTTGCGTAGAGGTGTTTGTAGTATTCTCTGATGGTAGTTTGTATTTCTGTGGGATCGGTGGTGATATCCCCTTTATCATTTTTTATTGTGTCTATTTGAGTCTTCTCTCTTTTTTTCTTTATTAGTCTTGCTAGTGGTCTATCAATTTTGTTGATCCTTTCAAAAAACCAGCTCCTGGATTCATTAATTTTTTGAAGGGTTTTTCGTGTCTCTATTTCCTTCAGTTCTGCTCTGATTTTAGTTATTTCTTGCCTTCTGCTAGCTTTTGAATGTGTTTGCTCTTGCTTTTCTAGTTCTTTTAATTGTGATGTTAGGGTGTCAATTTTGGATCTTTCCTGCTTTCTCTTGTGGGCATTTAGTGCTATAAATTTCCCTCTACACACTGCTTTGAATGCGTCCCAGAGATTCTGGTATGTTGTGTCTTTGTTCTCGTTGGTTTCAAAGAACATCTTTATTTCTGCCTTCATTTCGTTATGTACCCAGTAGTCATTCAGGAGCAGGTTGTTCAGTTTCCATGTAGTTGAGCCGTTTTGAGTGAGATTCTTAATCCTGAGTTCTAGTTTGATTGCACTGTGGTCTGAGAGATAGTTTGTTATAATTTCTGTTCTTTTACATTTGCTGAGGAGAGCTTTACTTCCCAGTATGTGGTCAATTTTGGAATAGGTGTGGTGTGGTGCTGAAAAAAATGTATATTCTGTTGATTTGGGGTGGAGAGTTCTGTAGATGTCTATTAGGTCCGCTTGGTGCAGAGCTGAGTTCAATTCCTGGGTATCCTTGTTGACTTTCTGTCTCGTTGATCTGTCTAATGTTGACAGTGGGGTGTTAAAGTCTCCCATTATTAATGTGTGGGAGTCTAAGTCTCTTTGTAGGTCACTCAGGACTTGCTTCATGAATCTTGGTGATCCTGTATTGGGTGCATATATTTTTAGGATAGTTAGCTCTTCTTGTTGAATTGATCCCTTTACCATTATGTAATGGCCTTCTTTGTCTCTTTTGATCTTTGTTGGTTTAAAGTCTGTTTTATCAGAGACTAGGATTGCAACCCCTGCCTTTTTTTGTTTTCCATTGGCTTGGTAGATCTTCCTCCTTCCTTTTATTTTGAGCCTATGTGTGTCTCTGCACATGAGATGGGTTTCCTGAATACAGCACAGTGATGGGTCTTGACTCTTTATCCAATTTGCCAGTCTGTGTCTTTTAATTGGAGAATTTAGTCCATTTACATTTAAAGTTAACATTGTTATGTGTTAATTTGATCCTGTCATTATGATGTTAGCTGGTGATTTTGCCGTTAGTTGATGCAGTTTCTTCCTAGTCTCGATGGTCTTTACATTTTGGCATGATTTTGCAGCAGCGGCTGGTACCAGTTGTTCCTTTCCATGTTTAGCGCTTCCTTCAGGAGCTCTTTTAGGGCAGGCCTGGTGGTGACAAAATCTCTCAGCATTTGCTTGTCTGTAAAGTATTTTATTTCTCCTTCACTTATGAAGCTTAGTTTGGCTGGATATGAAATTCTGGGTTGAAAATTCTTTAAGAATGTTGAATATTGGCTCCCACTCTCTTCTGGCTTGTAGGGTTTCTGCCGAGAGATCCGCTGTTAGTCTGATGGGCTTCCCTTTGTGGGTAACCCAACCTTTCTCTCTGGCTGCCCTTAACAGTTTTTCCTTCATTTCAACTTTGGTGAATCTGACAATTATGTGTCTTGGAGTTGCTCTACTTGAGGAGTATCTTTGTGGCGTTCTCTGTATTTCCTGAATCTGAATGTTGGCCTGCCTTGCTAGATTGGGGAAGTTCTGCTGGATAATATCCTGCAGAGTGTTTTCCAACTTGGTTCCATTCTCCCCATCACTTTCAGGTACACCAATCAGAGGTAGATTTGGTCTTTTCACATAGTCCCATATTTCTTGGAGGCTTTGCTCATTTCTTTTTATTCTTTTTTCTCTAAACTTCCCTTCTCACTTCATTTCATTCATTTCATCTTCCATTGCTGATACCCTTTCTTCCAGTTGATCGCATCGGCTCCTGAGGCTTCTGCATTCTTCACGTAGTTCTCGAGCCTTGGTTTTCAGCTCCATCAGCTCCTTTAAGCACTTCTCTGTATTGGTTATTCTAGTTATACATTCTTCTAAATTTTTTTCAAAGTTTTCAACTTCTTTGCCTTTGGTTTGAATGTCCTCCCGTAGCTCAGAGTAATTTGATCGTCTGAAGCCTTCTTCTCTCAGCTCGTCAAAGTCATTCTCCATCCAGCTTTGTTCCATTGCTGGTGAGGAACTGCGTTCCTTTGGAGGAGGAAAGGCGCTCTGCGTTTTAGACTTTCCAGTTTTTCTGTTCTGTTTTTTCCCCATCTTTGTGGTTTTATCTACTTTTGGTCTTTGACGATGGTGATGTACAGATGGGTTTTTGGTGTGGATGTCCTTTCTGTTTGTTAGTTTTCCTTCTAACAGACAGGACCCTCAGCTGCAGGTCTGTTGGAGTACCCTGCCGTGTGAGGTGTCAGTGTGCCCCTGCTGGGGGGTGCCTCCCAGTTAGGCTGCTCGGGGGTCAGGGGTCAGGGACCCACTTGAGGAGGCAGTCTGCCCGTTCTCAGATCTCCAGCTGCGTGCTGGGAGACCCACTGCTCTCTTCAAAGCTGTCAGACAGGGACATTTAAGTCTGCAGAGGTTACTGCTGTCTTTTTGGTTGTCTGTGCCCTGCCCCCAGAGGTGAAGCCTACAGAGGCAGGCAGGCCTCCTTGAGCTGTGGTGGGCTCCACCCAGTTCGAGCTTCAGGGCTGCTTTGTTTACCTGAGCAAGCCTGGGCAATGGCGGGCGCCCCTCCCCCAGCCTCGCTGCTGCCTTGCAGTTTGATCTCAGACTGCTGTGCTAGCAATCAGCGAGATTCCGTGGGCGTAGGACCCTCTGAGCCAGGTGTGGGATATAGTCTCGTGGTGCACCGTTTTTTAAGCCGGTCTGAAAAGCGCAATATTCGGGTTGGAGTGACCCGATTTTCCAGGTGCATCCGTCACCCCTTTCTTTGACTCGGAAAGGGAACTCCCTGACCCCTTGCGCTTCCCAGGTGAGGCAATGCCTCGCCCTGCTTTGGCTCGCGGACGGTGCACGCACCCACTGGCCTGCGCCCACTGTCTGGCACTCCCTAGTGAGATGAACCCGGTACCTCAGATGGAAACGCAGAAATCACCCGTTTTTCTGCGTCGCTCACGCTGGGAGCTGTAGACATGAGCTGTTCCTATTCGGCCATCTTGGCTCCTCCCCACGAAGTAGGTCTCTACTTACATTTTTAAAATACTTTATTGTTGTATGATTTTATATTTGTTGTTTTCCTTATTCAATTATCTTTATCATTATTCTATTTTATTTTAGTCTAGATTCTTACATGAATATCTCATCATTTTCATATTTTTAGCACAATTTTGAAGAACATCAGTTTTGTACTAATTGAGCTTTCAGCTTTATCCTATAAAATGAGACATGTATATAGCATTTACAATATTAATTTTTCTTTCTTGAAATATATATATTTTAATTTTATTTTTCCATAAGTTATGGGGGTACAGGTGGTATTTGGTTACATGAGTACGTTCTTTAGTGGAGATTTCTGAGATCCTGGTGCACCCATCACCCGAGCAGTATACACTGCACCGTATTTGTTGTCTTTTATCCCTCGCCCTCCTCCCACTCTTCCCCCCAAGCTCCCATGGTCTATTGTATCATTCTTATGCCTTTGCATCCTCATAGCTTAGCTCCCACATATCAGTGAGAACATACGATGTTTGGTTTTCCATTTCTGAGTTACTTCACTTAGAATAATAGTCTCTAATCTCATCCAGATCATTGCATATTTTTAAAATGTTCTAATGTAAATTGTATTGTGTTAAGAAATGTGATACATGTAGTAATACTTTTTGAAAATTTGTTGAGACAGGCTTTATGACCTGGTAGGCGTTAATTTTCATTAATGTTTATTATATGCTTGAGAAAATGTGAAATAATTGAGCTGCAGTGTTCTAAGGCTCTTAGATCAAGCTTGCTAATTATGTTGCTCAACCCACTTTTCATTTGTGCTATTCTGTTGTTTTATATTCTTAGATTTTTTTTGTCTGCTTTTTCTATTGAATACTGAGAGTGGTGCACTAAATAATCTTACTGCTGTCTACAATAATTTCGAATTTTTCAATTTAATGTTGTCATTCTGTTTATTTCTATTGAATAGTGAGACTAGTGAACTAAATTATCTTACTGCTATCCACAATAATTTTAAAATTTTCAATTTAATGTTATCATTCTGTTTATTTTTCTGTTATAAGTTATATATAGATGTATGTGCCTATATGTAGTGCACACATAGCCATGCAATACACGTGCAGGTTCAGGACTACCATATTTTTCTGGTGAAGTTCATTTCTTTAATGATAATATAATGCTGTATTTTATCACCATGAAGCTTTTGTTTTGAGGTTAACATTTTATTCCTGATATTACTATAATGTGCCAGGTTTCTTTTTTCCAGAATTTATCTTATAAATGTTCATTCCAATTATTTTACTTTCAACATTTGTTTATCCTTATCTTTTAAATGTTTGTCTTGTAAAACACATGTAACTTAATTCATTGATTTTTTTGAAGGGTTTTTTGTGTCTCTATCTCCTTCAGTTCTGCTGTGATCTTAGTTATTTCTTGTCTTCTGCTAAATTTTTAATTTGTTTGCTGTTGCTTCTCTAGTTCTTTTAATTTTGATGTTAGAGTGTCAGTTTTAGATCTTTCTTGCTTTCTCTTGTGGGCATTTAGTGCTATAAATTTCCCTTTACAAACTGCTTTAAATGTGTCCCAGAGATTCTGGTACATTGTGTCTTCGTTCTCATTGGTTTCAAATGACATCTTTATTTCTCCCTTCATTTTGTTATTTACCAAGTATATTATTTTGCTAGGGCTGCCATAATACAGTACCAAAAACTGCATGGCTTAAACACAAAAATTGATTGTCTCACACTTTTAGATGCTGGAAGTCTGAGATCAAGGTGTCAGTAGCATTGGTTCCTTCAGATGTCTGTAAGGAAATATCTTCTCTACACCAGTTCTCTAGTTCCTGGGGCGTTTCTGGCAATCTTTGGCATTCTTTTGTTTATAGAGGCATCAGCCCGATCTCCACCTTCATCTTTTCATGGTGTTCTCCCTGTGTGTATGTCTCTGTGCCCACATTTATCCTTTTCCTCAGGCCGCTAGTCATGTTGGATTAGGGACCCACCCTATGCTGGTATGACCTCATCTTAACTTATTACATCTACAACAACCATATTTCCAAGTAAGTTTAGATTCTGAGATACTGGGGCTTAGGACTTCAACATATGAATTTTGGGGGAACATAATCTATAACACTGAGTTTTAAAAATATGTATGTACATATATAATTATATACAATATTGTAAACATTTGCATGCAGATATGTGTGTATACGTGTGTACAAACATTGTATATATGAACATATATTTGAATTTATGTCTACCTTTTTGTTTTCTAATTTACCTATTTTATACTTGCTTTTCTCTTTTCCTGGCTTATTTTTAACTGATCAAATAGTTTTCTTTTTTCACTTTTATATGTTATACACTAAATTTCTATGTTTTGGGGATTCATCTTTAAAATTTAATTAATCTTCATCAGAACTATACAAGAAACTTAGAAAAATGTCGTGATCATATACTCATATGATTTAAATTATTACCTAGTAGGTTTTTATTTCTAACTTGCTATGAACACCCTTATAAGTTAGTCATTGTTATTATCATTGTTTCATATAAATAATATTTATAAAAATCTATACATTGATTTTTTGCTCTGCTGAGTATCCTTTCTTGTCTCCATGTCCTCCGCCTGGACCCAAGTTTCTTCTTCCTGCTGTATGTATCTTAAATATTAATTGAGTAAGGGGCTTTTTAAAACATTTAGTTTTGTTTTTCTGAAAAACAGTCTTATAAGTTTTAAGTTTCAAGCTGTTGCCTCTCTTTTCTTCTTACCTGCTACAGTAAATTCTCTCTATTTTTTTTTTATTATTATACTTTAAGTTTTAGGGTACATGTGCACAATGTGCAGGTTTGTAACATATGTATACATGTGCCATGCCGGTGTGCTGCACCCATTAACTCGTCATTTAGCATTAGGTATATCTCCTAATGCCATCCCTCCCCACTCCCCCCACCCCACAACAGTCCCCAGAGTGTGATGTTCCCCTTCCTGTGTCCATGTGTTCTCATTGTTCAGTTCCCATCTATGAGTGAGACCATGCGGTGTTTGGTTTTTTGTCCTTGCGATAGTTTACTGAGAATGATGATTTCCAATTTCATCCATGTCCCTACAAAGGACATGAACTCATCATTTTTTATGGCTGCATAGTATTCCATGGTGTATTTGTGCCACATTTTCTTAGTCCAGTCTGTCATTGTTGGACATTTGGGTTGGTTCCAAGTCTTTGCTATTGTGAATAGTGCCGCAATAAACATACATGTGCATGTGTCTTTATAGCAGCATGATTTATAGTCCTTTGGGTATATACCCAGTAATGGGATGGCTGGGTCAAATGGTATTTCTAGTTCTAGATCCGTGAGGAATCGCCACACTGACTTCCACAATGGTTGAACTAGTTTACAGTCCCACCAACAGTGTAAAAGTGTTCCTATTTCTCCACATCCTCTCCAGCACCTGTTGTTTCCTGACTTGTTAATGTTCACCATTCTAACTGGTGTGAGATGGTATCTCATTGTGGTTTTGATTTGCATTTCTCTGATGGCCAGTAATGATGAGCATTTTTTCATGTGTCTTTTGGCTGCATAAATGTCTTCTTTTGAGAAGTGTCGGTTCATATCCTTTGCCCACTTGTTGATGGGGTTGTTTGTTTTTTTCTTGTAAATTTGTTTGAGTTCATTGTAGATTCTGAATGTTAGCCCTTTGTCAGATGAGTATGTTGCGAAAATTTTCTCCCATTTTGTAGGTTGCCTGTTCACTCTGATGGTAGTTTCTTTTGCTGTGCAGAAGCTCTTTAGTTTAATGAGATCCCATTTGTCAATTTTGGCTTTTGTTACCTTTGCTTTTTGTGTTTTAGATATGAAGTCCTTGCCCATGCCTATGTCCTGAATGGTAATGTCTAGGTTTTCTTCTAGGGTTTTTATGCTTTTAGGTCTAACGTTTAAGTCTTTAATCCATCTTGAATTAATTTTTGTATAAGGTGTAAGGAAGGGATCCAGTTTCAGCTTTCTACATATGGCTAGCCAGTTTTCCCAGCACCATTTATTAAATAGGGAATCTTTTCCCCATTGCTTGTTTTTCTCAGGTTTGTCAAAGATCAGATAGTTGTAGATATGTGGCATTATTTCTGAGGGTTCTGTTCTGTTCCATTGATCTATATCTCTGTTTTGGTACCAGTACCATGCTGTTTTGTTTACTTGTAGTATAGTTTGTAGTATAGTATAGTTTGAAGTCAGGTAGCGTGATGCCTCCAACTTTGTTCTTTTGGTTTAGGATTGTCTTGGCAGTGTGGGCTCTTTTTTGGTTCCATATGAACTTTAAAGTAGTTTTTTTCCAATTCTGTGAAGAAAGTCATTGGTAGCTTGATGGGGATGGCATTGAATTTATAAATTACCTTGGGCAGTATGGCCATTTTCACGATATTGATTCTTCCTACCCATGAGCATGGAATGTTCTTCCATTTGTTTGTATCCTCTTTTATTTCATTGAGCAGTGGTTGAGATGGAGTCTCACTGTTGCCCAGGCTGGAGTGCAGTGGCGCGATCTCAGCTCACTGCAAGCTCTGCCTCCCAGGTTCACGCCATTCTCCTGCCTCAGCCTCCCGAGTAGCTGGGACTACAGGTGCCCATCAGCACGCCTGGCTGATTTTTTGTATTTTAGTAGATACGGGGTTTCACCCTGTTAACCAGGATGGTCTCGATCTCCTGACTTTGTGATCTGCCTGCCTCGGCCTCCCAAAGTGCTGGGATTACAGGTGTGAGCCACCATGTCCGGCCAGTTCTCTCTATTTTTGTGCTTTCCAGTATAATAGCAACTTGTTCAAATGTAGATTTTTAAAATATCAAACTACGAAAATTTTAAATACCCAGATTTTATTTAGTATTTATTGTGCTTTCTAAATCTGAAAGCACGATTCCTTCATTGACTGTAGAAAATCATTACTCATCATATCTTTAATTGCCAAATCCCCTTTCTCTCCATTTCTTTCTCTCCATTTCTTTCCTAGAAATTTGAATACAGGTGCATTGAAAATTCCTCCTAGATGTTGTCAGTGTTCTGAATTTTGGCCATTCCAAAAGCTGTGTAGTGGCATCTCGTTGTTTTAATTTGCATTTATATATGATGGCATGCAATATGGAGAATCTTTTCATATTTTATTTGCTATATATATATATATATATATATATATATATATTCTTTGGTGAGGTGTCTGTTAAGGTCTTTGGCCCATTTTTTAAGCAGTCTCTTTGTTTTCTTTTTGTTGAAGGTCCTACTTTATATTTTTTATTGTATATGGTTGATTTCTTATAGCTTCACTTCTGCTTTTTTTTTTTTTTTTTTTTTTACTTATTTATATTCTGAATCCAGTAATTTTATTAGCCAGTGTTATTGAGGGTCTAATTTTGGTGTTTGTTCTTTCTGCTGACTCCTGTTCTCTTGCTTGATTTATTTTGTTTTTATGCTTTTCTTTTTGAACTTAGATACCCTTTTCAGTGCTTCTTCAGCTTTGAAAGCCCTGTGAAGAATGCATGGAAGGTCTTTCTCTCCGGCGAGAATTTTCACTTCCTAATAAATGGGGCCCTGATGTGCTTAGGGTTTCTTAGACCCTAATTCCTCATAATAGAGAGCTGTGGTTATAAATAGGCAGGGAAGATTTTTTTTCCCCCAAAGCCCATCCTGGGACAGACAATTTTCCTTTTAGTTTCCTTTGTTGGCAGAGAGATATTATTCTAGCATATCATTTTACCTGCAGTATAGCCCCTTAAGGGTTCCAGGTTTACACAGGTCTAGATTCCAACTTCCATTTTTAAAAGGCAAAAGGCCTTGTTTTCTTCCCTGGCAGGCATTAAAACTCAAACCTCTTGGCTAGTAAGCATAGCAAATGCTCCCAGGATAGTTGCTGCATGGGTGGCAGCTTACAAATTTAATTTTCACTCGTCCCTCTGTTTAGGTCCCTGAAGATATATCTTTCTTTCTCAGTAGCTCAGCTATGCATCTGAAAGAATGTTTGTTACAGTTTATCTATCATTTCTAAGCATGTTTTTTTCTTCAGAAGTTTTTCAAAAAGTTCCCCAGATAACCAGAAGTAGAGATATTCTGACTGCTTTCTATATTTTAAATATACATCAAAATTACAGTCCATTGATCACCTTCTCTTGCGTTTTCCAGCATTGTTAACCATTTATTGGTTTGGGGTTTTTAAAACAATATGTTCTCCATTATTCCAAGAGATTTTTGTGAAGAAGGTATAAAATGTAGGTGACCTCAGTCTACCATCTTAACTCGATTTTTGAACTGGGTCTTGAAGGTTGAATGGAAACTTGCCAGGTGGAAATAGAGGTGAAGGCCAGGCTATGCTAAGGAAAGGCAATCATGAAAAATACACTTTCCTTAGGTAATAATGAAAAGTTAACTATAGCTAGTGAGCACTATTCATTAGGACAGATATGCCAGATGAATCTAAAAGTGAGATAGGTTTAAATGATATTAAAAAGGATCTTGCATGACACTACCAAGAGTCTGTTGTCCTGTTATGTAATTCAGCAAATATAGTTGTCATTTTTTATTACTTACTAGGGAGTAGGTATTGTACTAGAGATTTTACATCAGGTGTTATGCTTATTCATATTTTATTAGTAAAGTGAGCCAAAGAGAGATTTAATTAGTAAAGTGAGCCAAAGAGATCTGTGTTAACGTCACAGAGATCCCAGGAGGTGAAGTCAAGATTTCGTCTGACTGAAGAGCTTATGAACTAAATCAGTTCCTGCAGCATTCCCCAATAAATAAAAATAAATCAGTAAAAGTTTTTAAGAAAAGAGTGAAGTAGTGAGACTGATTATTTAGGAAGATTATTCTGTCAATCTGGTAGTGAAATGAATGACGGAATTACATACCACTCATAGCAGCTGCTTATCACCCCAGAGAAGAAAGTGGCAGCCTGGGAAACAAAGGGAAGAACAAGAGAGGACCTTGCAGGGGAGCTCAACCCGTTTGTTTATGCCTAGTGTTCCATTATTGGAATCCTAAGCTTGTGGGAGTTATTTATATCCTACTGCTCAAGGTCATTGCCAAGGTCTGATTTTTCACACACACACACACGCACATGCATGCACACACACAAAATTATAACCTGCGGCATAAATGGGTTAAAGGTCTTTACTTTTACTCTTCATGAGATTGGAGGTCATTGGAATATTGTAGCAGAGGAGTGAGATCCTTATAAATTTTAAAATAAGCATTTTTTTTCAACTTTTATTTTAGATTCAGGGAGTACGTGTGCAGACTTTTACATGGGTGTATTGTGTGATGCTGAGGTTTGGGGTACAACTGATCTCACCACCCACGTACTAAGTATAGTACCCAACAGGTTGTTCTTTAACCCCTTGCTCATCTCCCTCCCTCTCCCCTCTAATAGCCCTAAGTGTCTTTTGCTCCTGTCTTTGTGTCCATGGGTACCCAATGTTTAGCTCCCACCTAAAAGTGAGAACATGTGGTATTTGGTTTTCTGTTCCTGACTTAATCTGCTTAGGGCAATGACCTCCATTAAGAAAAGGGAATTCTCATACCCGATTGATGGGAATATAAATTAGTTCAACCACTGCAGAAGGGAGTTTGGAAATTTCTCAAATAACTTAAAACAGAACTACCACTTGACTCAGCAGTCCCATTGCTAGGTATATACTGAAAGGAAAATAAACCGTTCTACCAAAAAGAAAGATGCACTTCTATGTACATTGCAGCACCATTCACAATAGCAAAGACATGGAATCGTCCTAGGCACCCATCTGTGGTGTAATGGATAAAGAAAATGTGGTAAATATACACTATGGAATACTACACAGCCACAAAAAAGGGCAGTTTTATGGCTATATAGAAAATGGAGGTTAGGAGGGCAAGGGTTAAAGCGAAGAATTATGCATTACTGACATACTCCGTTGTCTTTATCTACAAGTATATAATATTTGGGTCTCCTTGGCTGGTAAGCAGAGGTGTGGGGTATGAGAGTATTCAAAGAGTCCAGTTCTTGGAGGACCAGCTGAGTAGAGTGTTCGAAGGTTGGCCATGTTGTCTTCTGAAGAGGAAAGGTGAGTAGGAGAGATCAACATTGGAGAAGTAATAGGGGAGGTACAGTGTAGTATCAATGACAGGAGCTCAAATCACATTACAAGGGAATCCTAGGCTTCAGAAATTCTCCCTAAAACTGGAAAAGATAAAGAGGTTTTGTGACGTGGGTGTATTCTATATAGATGAGAAATGATTGACAAATGCAGGCTCATGTTACACATATGCTTTCTCGTTTAATATTTTAGATTTTGTGAAACAGGTATTATCATTCTCAATTTATAGATAGGAAACAGTCTCAGAGACATTAGCTGATTTTCCTAAAACTAACCAGCATTAACTGGCAGAGGTGGAATTCAAACATAGATTTTTTTGGCCCTAAAAGGTGTGTACCTTTTGAGGACACCATCCTGGAAGGAAGGCTTTGTTTTAATTCAGATGAAAATTGCTCTGCAGTGGATTGGAACTCAGAGGGAAGCTGAAGAAAATTGCAGTAGCCGTGGAGACAGAGGCATCTGGAGGGAGCTTTCACTTTCTCTAATGTTGTCAAGTGTGTCACTCGGGGATAATGCTCACTGGTCTTGGAGACGGTCCCTTCTCCCAGAATTTAAGTTCAGTCCTAATTCTGGAGTCTCTTTTTCCCTCCTGTGGGTCAGAAGCCAGAGCTCCTGAGGGTGGCCATGTGCATTCTCATCAAGGCCGTGCCAAGCACCAAGCGCCCCAAGAGCTCTGGCAATTCGAAACCCTCACCTGCCCTTACTGCTTCCCGGTGGGGAACCTGCTGACATCATACAATGAGAGATACATTTACAGGGCTTCCCAGGGGCTCCGTGAAGCAGTTCTGCTTCTAAAGTGAGCAATGCTGGGGCAGGGGTTTTGAAACTACCTCCTTTCCATGTTCACTCCTTTCTATCCCCATGGCTCCTAAATGTGTGTGTGTGTGTGTGTGTGTGTGTGTGTGTGTGTTTGTGTGTGTCCGTGTATGTGTGTGTGTGAAAGAGAGACAGACAGTATATATATTAATATATACAAATTGGTGCCTCCAATTCTCAGGATAAAAATATCCAACTGGCCGGGCATGGTGGCTCATACCTGTAATCCCAGAACTTTGGGAGGTCGAGACGGGTGGATCACCTGAGGTCAGGAGTTTGTGACCAGCCTGGCCAACATGGTAAAACCCCGTCAACTAAAATACAAAAATTATCCAGGTGGAGGTGGGCGCCTGTAATCCTAGCTACTTGAGAGGCTGAGGCATGAGAATCGCTTGAACCCAGAAGGCAGAGGTTGCAGTGAGCCAAGATCGTGGCACTGCACACCAGCCTGGGCGACAGAGTTAGACTTCGTCCAAAAAAAAAAAAAAAAAAAAACCGAACCATCTTCTCTTTTGCTCCTGTGTGTTCTAAAAGTTGAAGTTTAGCATCTTCCAAATAAAGAGAAAAAGCAGATTGACACAAGGATTCCGTGGGTCCATAGAATCAGACAAGAGGACATTCAAGGAAGGAAGGAGTGGAAAAAGAGTCTAAAAGAAAGGCAAACAGATGAGACTAATTCCACCAGCTGATGCTAAATAAATAAAGCAAGAAGGATGTAACATCATATATCAAGAGTCTGTCAATTCCTGCCAACAGAATAGGTTTATTTTACATTTACTGAATAACTGCTCTGTGTTGTGTAGGGGATATTAAGGTTTTTTTTCCCATTTCTTTCTTTCTTTTCTTTTATTATTATTATTTTTTTTGATAATGGAGTTTCACTCTTGTTGCCTAGGCTGGAGTGCAATGGTATTTATTTCTTAATACTCTTGCAAACCCAGAGAAGGAGACATTCCCAAAGATTAAATGACTTATCCAAGTTTGTTCAGCCCTGATTATCAGAGCCAGCATTCTAACCCAGGTCTTTCTGATTTCCAAGTCCAGGACTTTTTCCACCATATGATCCTGCTACCTTTAGATGGAAATTGGAAATGAATAAAATGAAACTGAGAGCCTGTGGAAGTAAAACAGCACAAAAAAAATGGTGGAATTATGTTTATCTCTGCATCAGCCTTGTCTGAGTTTATTAGTGGTGCTATAACAAAATACTATAAACTGGGTAGTAAACAACCTAAATTTATTTTTCATAGTCCTGGGGACTGAGAAGTCCAAGATCAAGGTGCCTGGAGATTTGCATCTGGTGAGGGCCTGCTTTTTGGTTCACAGATGGCACCTTCTCACTGTGTCCTCACATAGTGGAAGGGGTAAAGTATCTTTTTTTTTTTTTTTTTTCTGAGTTGGAGTCTTGCTCTGTCGCCAGGCTGGAGTACAGTGGCGCGATCTCGGCTCACTGCAACCTCTGCCTCCCGGGTTCAAGTGATTCTCCTGCCTCAGCCTCCTGAGTAGCTGAGACTACAGGCACGTGCCACCACGCCAAGCTAATTTTTGTATATTTAGTAGAGACAGGTTTTCACCATGTTGCAGGATGGTCTTGAACTCTTGACCTCGTGAATGGCCCACATTGGCCTCCCAAAGTGCTGGAAATACAGGTGTGTGCCACCACGCCCCTCCGGGGTAAAGTATCTTATATGGACACTAATGTCATTCATGGAGACATTTCCCTCATTTCCTATTCCCCTGCCAAAGTCCCCAACTCCTAAAATCATCATGCTGGTGACTAGTTTCAATATACAAATTTTGGATACACAAACAGTTCATAGCACACCTTGACACTAGATCTGGCTCAATACCACTCTCCAGCCATCTCTTCTTTGTGCTTCTGTTATTCTCCCCAGTGGCATCTTCTCAACTTGCTCCCAGAGTCTCTGTTCTGGTCTTTTGGCTCCCCCCTCTAGTTTGCCAAGGCCCTTGGAATTTAATTCTGTTTACCAAGAAAGCAATAAATGCCTATACTGTGCTCACCAGTGAGGCACCAGGGAATGCAAATATGGACACAGCTCAGGAGGGAAAATGGGCAAGAGACGGGATCAGATCTAGAGTTTTGTGTCTACCACAGGTTTGGTTGTCAGGCACATAATGAAATGTATTCGCCTATGCAACATATATTTATTGATATATACTAAGTTCTAGACATTGTTCTATTTGGTTGGGTGTGGTGGCTCATGCCTGTAATCCCAGCACTTTGGGAGGCCGAAGCATGTGGATCACCTGAGGTCAGGAGTTCAAGACCAGCCTGGCAAACATGGTGAAACCCTGTCTCTACTAAAAATACAAAAATTAGCCGGGCATGCTGGCGGGCACCTGTAATCCCAGCTACTTGGGAGGCTGAGGCAGGAGAATCGCTTGAACCTGGGAGGCGGAGGTTGCAGTGAGCTGAGATCATGCCATTGCACTCTAGCCTGGGCGACAAGAGCAAAACTCCATCAAAAAAAAAAAAAAAAAAAGAGAGACATTGTTCTTTTTGCTAGAGAAATAGCCATGAATATAATAAAATATATCTTCTACATAGAGTTTGTATGCCAGTAGAAGCAGCTAGACAATAAACAAGTATAGCATGTCGGTTGGCAACAAGGCAGTGGTGAAAAATAAAGCAGAGAGTGCTGGGGGAGTTACTATTTTAGATAGGATGTCTGGGGGAGACCTCTATGAGGAAATGTCATATGAGCAGAGAACCAAATGAAAAGAGAGTAAGACATGTGCTTATCTGGGAAAAGAGCATTCCAGTCGAGGAAACAGCGACTGCCAAGGCTCTAAGGATACCTTCTTAGTGTATTCAAAAAATGGCAAAAAAAAAAAAAAAAAAAAAAAAAAAAACCATGGTTGGAGCTCAGTGAGTGAGTAGGGCGTATTGGAGATGAAGTCAGCAAAATAGCAGAGGGATGAACTAATGTAGGGCTTTAAGGCCAATTGTGAAGGTGTGAGTCTTTAATGAGTAATATGGGAAGCCATGTGAGAATTTTGAGCAGAGAAGTAAAATATTCTGACATGTTTTAAAAGGATCTTTCTGGGGAATATATAGAGATAGATTGTAGGACCAAAGGGCGTACATAGGAAGGCCAGGTAGGGGCTTGAGCAGAATTCTAGAAGAAAGAGGACAGGGCAGGATGGTGTCTTGGACCAGGTACATATCAGTAGGAGCGTTGAAAACTGTTTGGGTTATGAATATATATTGAAGTTGGAACTAGATGAATTTCCAGACAGATTGGATATGGGGTGTGATGTGAACTACAAGGAATGACTCCCACATTTTTGGACTGAGCAGATGAAATATGGATTTATCAGTTACTGAGGGCTGAAGACTTGGGAGTGAGGATAAGGAGTCAATTTTGGACTTGTTAATCATGAGTTGTCTATTAGATAAGCAAGTGGAAATACTTAACTGGCACTTGGGTATATAAATCTAAAGAAGGAGATAGGTTCAGGGTACAATTATACCGGAGACTACATAGCAGGGAAGCATTAGCTTATTGCCATGAAATTAACTGAGATCACTAAAAAAGTGAATGCTGTTAGACAAAGAAGCAATCAGTGCCTGATTCCTGATGGATAAATATAGCATTGAATCAACAGGAAGTTAGGAGAAACCATCAAAGGATATTAAGAATAACTGGTGATTTGCCAGGCGTATACAGAAACTACATGAAAAAGGCACTTTACAAAGAGAGACATTTGTGCCACTACACTGAACCAACCAAACCTATTCTGACATCCTGAGGACTGGCATCTGAGATCATATAAGGACAACATTCTTCTCACTCATGAGTGTTGGTGTCTCTAGGATAGACACAGGCACCTGCCTCCACATGCCTTTCAGAAAACAAGTGACATGGCAGGAGAGGAAACAGACCAAAGCCCAGAAAGAATTTGAGCTGACAGTGGAGTTGTGAACCCATTTGCAACATCCTTTCAAGAACACCTAAAATTATTAGGTGCTGGCTTAAAGGGACCCATACACAGTAATTAAGCCACTGATGATTTAATTCGGGAATAAGATAGAAGCATGATTAAACCCTGAAATTGTAAAAAAATAAAGAGAGATTTCATTTTATAAAGCAGTTATTAGGTTAGTGCAAAAGTAATTGCAGTTTTTGCCATTAATTTTAATAAATTTTCCACACTTAAAATAATTTAGAGAATGTCAAAAGAAAATAGTCTAAAAATATTTTCAAATCTATGAAAGAAAAGGAAATTTTTTTAACCATGCCAAAAGTTCTACGCAGAAAAGAAAGATCAATGACCAGATTGAAAAATTAGCAGAGGATAGCAACATACAGCTATAGAGAAAGAAATGTAAATGACCAGTCAATAAGTAGAAAGATGCTAAATCTCCCTTGTAATTGATATCATTTGTCACCTCTCAAATGTACAAATACTAAGAGGATTGATAATGTTCAACTTTGTCAAGGGTACAGAGAAACAAACTCTCATATATAGTTGGCTGAAGTGTAACACTGACACATTTTTATGGAGTCACTTGTCAGTATCAATAAACATTTTAATTTTAAATTTTATAATTTTAGATTTACAGAAAAATCAAGAATATAGTACAGAGAATTTCTATACACACCACACCCAGTTTCCCGTATTAAGATATTACATTACTATAGTATATTTGTCACAACTAATGAACTAATATTGATACCTTATGACTAAGTCATCACTTCACTCAGATTTCCTTAGTTTTTACCCAATGTGCCTCTTTTGTTCCGGGATTCATCTAGGACACCATATTACATTTAGTCCTCATATCTCTCTAGGCCCCTCTTTGCTATGACAGCTTCTCAATCTTTTCTCTTCTTTCTGATGATGTTGACAGTTTCAAAGAGTGCTGGTTAGGTATTTTCTAGAATGTTCCTCACTTGTGATTGTTTGATTTTTTTTTTTTCCATGTCTCAACCGGGATAATATGTTCTTGGGAGAAAGATCAAAGAGGTAAAATGCCATTATCATATCATATCTTACCAGCGTAAATTCTCAATATGACTTCTTATTGATGTTAATCTTGAACACCTGGTAAAGGAAGTGCTTCTCAGGTTTCTTCTCTGTATTCTATTTTTTTCCCCCATTTCCAAAGTACAGGATACTCTTTGGAAAGAAATCACTTTGTACAGTCCATACTTAAGGAGTGGAGAGGTTTGCTCCCATTCCTTGACGGTGGATTATCTACATAAATTATTTGAAATTCTTCTGCATGGGAGATTTTTGTCTTTTCCGCTATTCAATAATTTATTTATGTCAGTTTTGATTTATAGATTTTTATTTTATACTCTGCATTACAATCTAAGGCTACTTTATCTTGTTGCTCAAATTATTCCAATTTTTTTTAAAAAAACGTTTTTCTATTTTCTAGCACCACAAGACGCTCTAGGCTTATCTTGTATATTTACTTCTCCAGCCTTAGAATTAGCCATTTCTCGAGGAAGCCCTAGTTCTTTTTATTAGAAAATGATAATAGAAACTGAGATTGGGGTACAAGCCATGCTTATTGCTACTAGGTTATCTTTGCTTTCAGGTCTTTTCAGCAGGCAAGATGAGAAAATATATGTGTGTATACTAAACCCTTTATGTATACATATTTATAAATATTTCTGTATGTTTCTATATGTAAACAGTCTTATCTATGTTAAGCAAAACATGAATTCTTACTGAGGTCTCCAATTCTAATTCACTGCCTCATGGATTATTCTAGCTTTTTTCCCAAGCTTATTTGTAATCTCCCACTCCAGCAGTGAGAAGCCTGTCTCCCACCATCCACCATCCATTTACTTAATTGTTCAGTTGCAGATCAGTTTACATGTATAGTGGTTTTAGAATTGTTAACCCATACCTCCTGGGGAAATAACTTTATCAACTAGAGTAGAAGGCTTATGCGCAGTTAATTTTGCCTTTAGTCTTCCAGAGTCTGTTCATTTCCAAAGTCACTTAGGTCAGCACTTCTTTCCCCTACTTCCTTCAGTGAGGTTGCTTCATACACGTAATACGTTAGACTCTTTTGTCACAGTCTGCATTCTATCTTGGGATCTGTCAACCTCCTAAATGATTTTTTTTTTTTTAATTTGCCTGCAGGAAGGTCTACTGTCTGTGCTGTAAAGTTCTGTGGACAAATGCATAGTGTCATGTAACCAAAATTATAGTATCACAGTATCACCCAATATAGTTTCAATAATCCTCTGTTCCTCACCTAACCAGCCCCCTCCCACAACCACAGGCTGGCAATTACTGATCTGTTTACCATTTCTACATTTTAGGCTTTTCTAGAATATTATATAAATATTATACAACATGTAGTGTTTTTAAACTGGCGTTTTTCACTTAGCAATATGCACCAACATTCAGTCTTGTTTTTGTGAGGCTTAATAACTCATTTCATTTTATTGCTACATCAATTTCCAAGTATAGATGTGCCAGAGTTTATTTATCTTTACACCCATTGAGGAATATCCTGGTTGCTTCCAGTTTTTTACTATTATGAGTAAAGATGCTATAAACATTTGCATTCAGGGATTTGAGTAAACACAAATTTTCAAATCAATTTTGCCCATTCCTAGGAACACAACTGTTAAATAATTTGGTAAGACTACATTTAGCTTTGTGAGTAACTGCTTAACTGCATTCCAGAGTAACTGTACCATTTTGCATTCCCACCAGCAAGGAATAAAATTTGCTGCTGTTCTGCATTCTTGCCAGCAATTGGTATTGTCAGTTTTTTTGGATTTTAGCCTTTCTAATAGGTAGTTAGCTGTATTTCACTGTCGTTTTTATTTGCATTTCCCTAATGACAAATGATGTTATGCGTATTTTCCTCTGCCTATTTGCCATCTGTATAATCAGTCCGCTCCTCCAACCAAACACCTGGCAACTTTGGTTTGCCTTCTTTGGTGAGATGCTCAGATCTTTTGTCCATTTATTAATTGGATTGTTTGTTTTCTTATTGAGTTTAAGAGTTCTGAATATATTTTGGTTCCAAATCCTTTATTAGATATATAGTTTGCCAGTATTTTCTTCTATCCTATGGCTGTCTTTGCATTCTGACAGTGTCTTTCACAGAGCAGCACTTTTTAATTTTAATGGAGTCCAACTTATCAGTGTTTTCTTTCATAGATTGTTCTTTTGATTTTGTGTCTAACAATTCATCACTAAAGTCACTTGAAATGTCTTTGGTCCTTTGTCAAAAATAAATTGGCTATGTCTGTGTGGGTCTATTTCTGGGCTCTCTATTCTGTTCCATTGACCTTTGTGTCCATTATTTGCCAATGCCGTACTGTTGTGATTACTGTACTTCTGTAAGTCATGAAATCAGGTAAAGTGAGTCATTTAGCTTTGTTCATCTTCAGTATTCTTTTGGTTATTCTAAGTACTTGGTCTTTCCCCTTAAAATTTAAAATTAGTTTGCCAATATCTGCAAATAGCTTATTAGAATTTTATTAATATTATGTTGCATCCATAAATCAAGTTAGGATAAATTAATATCTTAATAATATTGCGTCGTCCAATTTATGAGCATGGAATATCTTTCCATTCATTTAGATCTTAAATTTCTTTCATCAGTGTTTTGTAGTTTTCCACATGCAGATCCTATATCTATTGTGTTTGATTTGTACTTAAATATTTTATTGTTGGTGGTTTTCTAAATAGTATTTTTTTAATTCAAATCCTGTGTTCATTGCTGTTAAAGAGAAAAACCTTGACATTTTTATTGATCTTGTATTTTTCAACCTTACTACACTCACTCATTAGTTACAGGAGACTTTCATAAATACTCTGCGATTTTCTACATAGACAATCATGTTGTCTACAAATAGTTTTAATTTGTCTTTTCTAATTTGTATACTTTTTTATCTCTTTTTTCTTATAAAAGTTACAATTTCTAATACAATTTGCAATAAGTAAGAATGGTGAGAGATAATATCTTTGCCTTATTCTCAATTTCAGGACAATGTCCAGTCTCTCACTGTGAAGTTTGGTATAAGCTGTAGGTTTTCTTGAAGATATTCTTTATCAACTTGTAGAATTTCCCAACTATTCATAGTTTGCTAGAGTTTTTGTCATGAATGGGTAGTGAATTTTGACAGTTCTTTTCTGCAAGAATTGACCTGATTGTATGATTTTTCTTTGCTAGCCTGTTGATAAGATTACTTATATTGATTGATTTTTGAATGTAGAACCAGTCTTCCATACTTGAAATAAATCCCAAATGGTCCTGATATATAATTCTTTTTATATACATTGTTGGAATGAATCTCTTAGTATTTGATTGAAGACTTCTTAAAAAAATCTACATTTATGAGAGATATTGCTGTATAGATTTTCTTTCCTTAATGTCTTTGTCTGGTTTTAGTATTAGGATAATGCTGGCTTAAGAACATTAAGTTAGTAAGTTAAGAAGTATTGCCTGTGATTCTGTTTTCTGAAAGTGATTGCAAATAATTAATATTATTTCTTTTTTGTGTGTTCGGTAGAATTCACCATTGAAAACACCTGAGATTGGTGGGGTTTGGGGTGGAAAGATAGTTAATTCTTAATTATCTATTCAATTCCTTTAATTAATATAAGGATATTCCAGTTATCTGTTTCTCCTTATGTGGGTTTTTGTAGTTTGTATCTTTTAAGAAATTGGTCCATTTCAAATTTGAGAGCAGAGAGTTGCTTATAGTATTCCTGTATTATTCTTGATCTTCCTTTCATTTTTGAAATTGGAAATTTGTGCCTTCTCTCTCTTTGTTCTTGGTTATCTTGGCTAGGGGTTTTATCGTGTTATTGATCTTTAATCTTCAGATTATTATTATTTCAATAGTTTTGGGAGAACAGGTGGTGTTTGGTTACATGGATAAGTTCTTTAAGTGTGATTTCTGAGATATTGGTGCACCCACCAACTGAACAGTACCACCTGACTACCCAACGTGTAGTCTTTTATTCCTCACCCCCCTCCCACCTTTTCCCCTAAATCCCCATAGCCCATTGTATCCTTCTTATGCCTTTGCATCCTCATAGCTTAGCTCCCACTTATAAGTGAGCACATACGATGTTTGGTTTTCCATTTCTGAGCTACTTCACTTACAGTAATAGTCTCCAGTTCCATCCAGATTTCTGCAGATGCCATTATTTCATTCCTTTTTATGGTTGAGTAGTAGTCTATGATATATCTATATTTCACATTTTGTTTATCTGCTCATTGGTTGATGGGCATTTAGGTTGGCTTCATATTTTTGCAATTGCAAATTGTGCTGTAATAAACATGAATGTACAAGTGTCTTTTTCATATAATAACTTCTTTTCCTCTGGGTAGATGCCCAGTAGCAGGATTGCTGGATCAATGGTAGTTCTACTTTAAAAATTCTAGAAGATAAAGTCAGAAAAACTCTTCTAGACATTGGCCTAGGTGAAGAGTTCATGACCAAGAACCCAAAAGCAAATAGAACAAAAACAAAGATAAATAGATGGGACTTAATTAAACTAAAAGCTTCTGCACAGTGAGATAAATAATCAGCAGAGGAAATCACAACCCACAGAGTGGGAGAAAATATTTGCAAACTATGCATCCAACAAAGGACTAATATCCAGAATCTATAAGGAACTTAAACAAATCAGCAAGAAAAAAAAAATCCCATCAAAAAGTGAGCTAAAATTCTCAAAAGAAGATATACAAATGGCCAAGAAACATGAAAAAAAATGCTCAACATCACTAATTATCAGGGAAATGCAAACCAAAACCACAATGTGATACCACCTTGCTCCTGCAAGAATGGCCATAATTTAAAAATCAAATAACAAATGTTGGCACAGATATGGTGAAAAGAGAACACTTTTATACTGTTGGTGAGAATGTAAACTAGTACAACCACTATAGAAAACAGTATGGAAATTCCTTAAAGATTTATTTTTTTTTATTTTATTGTTCTTTTTAGAGATAGGTTCTCCCTCTGTCACCCAGGTTGGAGTGCACTGGTGTGATTATAACCCACTTCAGCTTCAAACTCGTGGGCTAAACCAGTCTTCACCTCAGCCTCCTGAGTAGCTGGGACTACAGGCACATGCCACCATGCCCAGCTAATTTTTTTTTTAATTATTGGTGGAGAAGAGATCTCACTATGTTGCCTAGACTGGTCTTGAACTCCTGGCTTCAAGTGATCCTCCAGCCTTGGCCTCCCAAAGTGTTGGGATAACAAGTGTGAGCCACTGCATCTGGCCTTTGTGTTACTGATTTTTAAATAAAAAACAAATATTGGGTTTTGTTGAGTTTCTTTATTATTTTCCTATTTTCCATGACATTGATTTTTGCTCTACTTTTTTTTCTGCTTGCTTTAGGCTGTTGGTCTTCTTTCTATTTTTTTCCAAGTTGGAAATTACTATATTAGTTTGTGATTTTCTTCTAATATATGCATGTAATGCTATAAATGTCCCTCCAAGAACTGCTTTTGAGGCATCCCACAAATTTTGATCAGTTGCATTTTAATTTTCATTCAGTTCAAAATGTTTTAAATTTACTTTGAGACTTCCTTTTTTAACTCATCAGTTACTTAGAAGTATGTTGTGTAAAATCCAAATACTTGGAGATTTTCTAGTTTAATTCCATTGTGGTGTAAGAACATATGTGGCATACTTTCTATGCTTTTAAATTTCTTGAGATGTGTTCTATGACCTAGAATGTGGTCTATCTTGGTGAAAGTTCCATGTGAAATAAAAAAGAATATGCATTCAGCTGCTTTGGAGTGGAGTATCCTATAAATTTTAATTCAATTAAATTGATTGATAATATTATTCAGTTATACCTTGTAGGGTCCCCCAGTTTCCTTTCTCTCCCTACTTTTTTTTTCTGTGTCCTGACCTAGAAACAACAGTCCTTGACTGCCGTGTTGACCTGGCCAGCTGCATGTTTTCCCTTGCAGGTTAGAACCCAAGCAGGGGGCCAGGCGCTGGTAGCTCACGCCTGTAATCCCAGCACTTTGGGATGCCGAAGCGGGTGAATCGCTTCAGCCCAGGAGTTCTAGTCCAGCAACATGATGAAACCTTGTCTCCACAAAAAATACAAAAATTAGCTGTGTGTGGTGGTGTGCACCTGTAGTCCTAGCTACTCGGGAGGCTAAGGTAGGTGGATCGCTTAAGCCCAGGGGGTCTAGGCTGCAGTTAACTGGGATTGCGCTACTGCACTCTAGCCTGGGTGACAGAGGGAGACCCTGTCTCAAAATAACAAAAGAACCCAAGATGGGGTTTTGAACATTCACAGGCCCTGATAAACTTGTTTAAGTTGTTGCCTGAAACATGGAAATATAAAAAATGTTGCTAAACATGTAGAAACTAGACCTGGCCTTTAGCCAAATTCTTTAAGCCCACACATAAATTCCATAATCTGACCCTCTCACTGCAGAGACACCTCAGTAGAACATCTGTATTCTTGTTCATCCAAAGGACATGTTGCAGTCTCCACCCCATGTAGGTCCCCTTACTGTATGCTTTAGACTGATCATCACCCTGGCGTTTAGTGCTTCTTTCTCTGAGATCTCAACTGGCCCCATCTCAGGATGGTTTGGGTTCTTGTGGCAGTCTCTTGCAAGAACTCTGCTGCTGCTGCTTTGGGGTAACTCCAGCTATTGGGGTGGGCTGACAGAACATTTCATGGATTTTATGCCTGCTTGGTCTGTTGGTCTATTAATTACTGATGGAGAGGTGCTGAAGTCTCTAGTATGATAGCAGATTTGTCTATGTTTCTTTCAACTCTATTAGATTTTGCTTCATATATTTTGATGCTCTATTGGTAGGTCAGTACACATTTAGGGTGGTTATATATTCTTGGGGAATTGACTCCTTTATCATTATGTAATACCTCTCTTTATCGATGATAATCTTCCTTGTCTGAAGTCAGCTTTGTCCAAAATTAATCTAACTGATCCAACTTTTTAAAATTAGTGTTAACATTCTATATCTTTTTTTATCCCTCTACTTTTCATCAAGCTGACTCATTATATTCAAAGTGCATTGCTTGTAGACAACACGTAGTTAGGTCCTACATGCCATATAATACTATGCCAGGCACAGTATATATATGTTTTTTTCTATCCTCTCTGACAATCTTTGTCTTCTATATGGTATATTTAGGCCATTAGTATTAAAAGTACTTATGTATATGGTTGGATTAATATCTACTATATCTATAGCTCCTGTTTGTTGCATTTTTCTTCTTTCTTTCTCCCCTTTTTCTACCTTCTCTGGTTTTAAATGAGCATTTTATACAATTTCATTTTCTGTTTCGATTAGCATATAAATTAATAGAAATAATTTATATCTTCTATTAGCATATCAATTACGCTTCTTTAAAAAATTATGATAGCCCTAGAGATTACAATGTTCATTTTAAACTTAACTAAGTTTTCGTTCAAATAACTCTGTATTATTGAAAATGTACCATAGGCACTTCAAAACAGCATTCCCAGTTACTTCCTACCATCATTTATGACATTACTTTTATTTACTGCACTTATCTACTGGCCCAATTTCTTATTACTCTCATTGCTTTAAACCAACAGTTATCTTTTCTCTCTCTCTTTTTTTTTTTTTTTTTTTAGATGGAGTCTCACTCTCTCACCCAGGTTGGAGTGCAGTGGTGCAATCTTGGCTCACTGCAACCTCCACCTCCTGGGTTCAAGCATTCTCCTGCCTCAGCCTCCCAAGTAGCTGAGATTGCAGGTGCACACCACCATGTCCAGCTAATTTTTGTATTTTTAGTAGAGACGAGGTTTCTGCATGTTGGCCAGGCTGGTCTCGAACTCCTAACCTCAGGTGATCCGCCCACCTTGGCCTCCCTAAGTGCTGGGATTACAGGCATGAGCCACCATGCCTGGCCACAAACAGTTATCTTTCAGATCAGTTAAGAAGAAAGAAAATAAAAGATTTCATTTTAATTCATTTATTCTTTCTCACTCTTCTTTATATGTATCCGTGTTTCTGTCCTATATAGTTTCCTACTTTTAACTTGAAGGGCAGATGTAGCAGTAATATATTTCTTTAGCTTCCATTTGTATGAAAAAGCCTCTATTTCTCCTTCACTTTTGAAGGGTAATTTTGCTGGATATAGAATTCTAGATTAATGTGGCCAGGCGCAGTGGCTCACTTCTGTAATCCCAGCACTTTGGGAGGCCGAGGTGGGTGGATCACGAAGTCAGGAGATCGAGACCATCCTGGTTAACACGGTGAAACCCCATCTCTACTAAAAAATACAAAAAATTAGCCGGGCATGGTGGTGGGCTCCTGTAGTCCCAGCTACTTGGAAGGCTGAGGCAGGAGAATGGCGTGAACCCGGGAGGCGGAGCTTGCAGTGAACCAAGATTGCGCCACTGCACTCCAGCCTGGAAAACAGAGCAAGACTCCATCTGAAAAAAAAAAAAAAAAGAATTCCAGATTAATGTTAGTGTTGTTTTTTCTTTCAGTGCTTTAAGTATTTCACTTCACTGTCATCTTGGTTGCACATTACTAATTAAACACCTGCTGTACTTCTTATCCTTTTTCTTCTAGAGGTGAAGTTTCCTCTTCTTTCTGGCTTTTTTCAAAGTGTTCTCTTTGTCTTTATGTTTTCTGCAGATAGAATGATATGCCTAGGTGCAGTATTTTATATATATATATAAAAAAATATATATAAAATATATTTTTATATATTTATATAAATATGTTTATATAAATATATATAAATTTATATATATATAAGTTTATATATATAAATTTATACATTTATAAATTTATATATAAATTTATACGTTTATAAATTTATATATAAATTTATACGTTTATAAATTTATATATAAATTTATACGTTTATAAATTTATGTATAAATTTATACGTTTATAAATTTATGTATAAATTTATACGTTTATAAATTTATGTATAAATTTATACGTTTATAAATTTATGTATAAATTTATATATAAATATAAATAGTTTTTATATACTTTTTACATTTTATAAAAGTTAAAATTTTATAGTTTTTTTATATACTATAAAATATATAAATTTTATAGTATTTTTTAATATACTATAAAATATAGTATATTTATAAATATATATTTTATATATTTATATAAATATATATATTATATTTATATTTATATATAAAATATATATTATATATTTATATTTATATATAAAATATATATTATATATTTATATTTATATATAATATATAAAAATATATATTTATATATAATATATAAAAATATATATTATATATAATATATAAAAATATATATTATATATAATATATAATATATAAAAATATATATTTATATTTATATAAATATATATAAAATAAAAGTACATATTATTTATATATATATAATATATAAAAGTACATATTATATATTTATATTTATATATAAATGGAAGAATCTAGGGAAGAAGATCTGACTGTATTTCACAGTGATTATCTTTTCTTCCCCCTGCAAGAAACACTGTGGTCCTGGCAGACTTCACATAGTTAAAGTCCACAAAAGTGTGGGGACTACCCCATCAATACCACAGTAGTTTATATATGTGTGTGTGTGTGTGTGTATTTTTTTTTTTTTCTGCTTGGAGTTATCTAAACTTCCTGTATCTATGATCTGTAATTTGGTGTCTGTCATTAATTCTGGAAAATTCTCAGCCATTATTACTTCAAATATTTATTCTGTTCCATTCTCTATTCCCGTTTGGTATATGCATTCATTATACTTTTTGAAACCCTCCCACAATTCTCAAATGTCGTGTTCTGCTTCGTTTTCTTCATTATCTTCCCATTTGCATTTCAGTGTGGAAAGTTTTTATTGACCCATGTTCAAGCTCACTAATATTTTCTATGTCCATGTCTACTCTACTAATGAGGTATTCAAAGACATCTTTCATTTCTGTTACAATGTTTCTGGTTTCCAGCATTTTATTTTGATATTTACTTAGAATTTCCATCTCTCTGCTTATATCACCTTCTGTTGTTTCTTGTTGCCTACTTTTTCCATTAGAGCCCTTAACATGTCAATCATAGTTATTTTAAGTGTTCAGTCTGATGATTCCTGCATCTCTATCATGAATGAATCATGTTCTGATGAATGCTTGGTATTTTCAGACTGGGTAGTTCTTCTTGGTTTCTGCCATGACACACACACACACACACACACACACACACACATATATATATATATACACACACACACACACATATATACACACACATATACGCATACGTATATACACACATATATATGTATGTGTGTGTCTGCGTATATGTATATGTATGTGTGTGTGTGTATATATATATATATATTTTTTTTTTTTTTTTTTGAAATGGAGTCTCGCTCCGTCATCCAGGCTGAAGTGCAGTGGCACAATCTTGGCTCACTGCACCCTCCACCTCCCAGGATTGAGTGATTCTCCTGCCTCAGCCTCCAAAGCAGCTGGGAATACAGGCGCACGCCACCATGCCTGGCTACTTTTGTATTTTTAGTAGAGATAGGGTTTCACCATGTTAGCCAGGCTGGTCTTGAACTCCTGACCTCAGGTGATCTGCCTGCCTCAGCCTCCCAAAGTGCTGTGATGACAAGTGTGAGCCACTGCACCTGGCCACTTTATAATTTTTTATTGAAACCAAGACATTTTGTATCTATCAGGTAATAAGAATTAGAGGTAAATAGTTCTCTAGTGTAAAGATGTGTATACATCTGGCTAAAAATGGACTTCATTTAAAAATTGCTCAGTTACAGGTGTCAGAGGCTTTACATTCCTCTGTCCTTGTTTTTGTCTTTCCTCTTTATTTTGAAATTCCCCTAAGCACTCCTACTCAGAGAGAGCCTGTGTCTCCTGTCTCTCTTAGGTATAATGTACAACAATTATTCCAGTTATTTTATTGAAATCCTGTGGCGGTGTTGTTAAGGTGTTGGGGAGGAATGAATTCTACAGTCTTCCAATTTAGATGAGTCTTTTAGTGGGCTGATGTTTCTGGGCTGTGATCTTCACACGTGTTTCTCCAGTTGTATAACATTTCCCTTTCCCCCTACTCCACTCCCCAACTACAGTGTTCCCAGTCTATTTACTGGAGGCCTGAATGCTCTTTATAATATACATTTTCCCCTTAGGGGAGAAAGGAGGACTAGATGGAGCTGCAGTAGGAAGAGTGTCCTTCCCTATCTAGGATAACGCTCTGGCAAAGACTTACCCCGGGCAATTAGGTCCTTAGGGAAGAATATCTGACTGTATTTCACATCGAGTATCTTTTCTTCCCCCTGCAAGAAACACTGTGGTCTGGGCTGAGTGTGGTGGCTCATGCCTGTAATCCCAGCACTTTGGGAGGCCAAGGCGGGCGGATCACCTGAGGTTGGGAGTTCAAGACCAGCCTGATCAACATGGAGAAACCCCGTCTCTACTAAAAATACAAAATTAGCCAGGCATGGTGGTGCATGCCTGGAATCCCAGCTACTGAGGAGGCTGAGGCAGGGGAATTGCTTGAACCCGGGAGGTGGAGATTGCGGTGAGCCAAAATCAGGCCATCGCACTCCACTCTAGGCAACAAGAGCGAAACTCCGTCTCAAAAAGAAACACTGTGGTCCCAGTAGACTTCACGTAGTTAAAGTCCACAAAAGCATGGAGACTACCCCATCAAGACCATAGTCTTCAGGAAGTTTTTGTTTTCACGTTTTCCCATATTTGGCTTCCAGAAATTCATCAGAACTTCGTCTTGAGTGTTCCTATTTATGGCGCTCACAGCTTCTATCTGGGCTGTGTCTCTCTGGAGTGTGCCTATCACCACTAATTTTGGGGTAGTGATTTGCCCTGTCGTATTAGTTCTCTGATAAGTCCAAGAAAAGTCATTAATTTTTAATTTTTCCAGCTTTTTATTGAAGAACAAGACAAATGATTTCCAAGCTCTTTACATGTCAAAGCTGAAATTGGAAATTTTAATCGAAGTTTAAATATGGCTTTTTTATGCCTAGCAGTTCTTCTCACAGGAATTTTTTGTTTGTCTGTTTTTGTTTTTTGTTTTTTAGGCAGAATCTCAGTCTGTCGCCCAGGCTGGAGTGCAGTGGCGCAATCTTGGCTCACTCCAACCTCTGCCTCCTCTGTTTAAGTGATTCTTCTGCCTCAGCCTCACCATATTGGCCAGGCTGGTCTCGAACTCTTGACCTTGTGACCCACCCACCTCAGCCTCCCAAAGTGCTGGGATTACAGGCATGAGCCACTGTGCCCGGCCTCTCCCTGGCATTTTATACTGTAAATATTATTGCATAAGGGCACACAATACATGAACAGAGATATTCACTGTAGTATTGTTTGCAACATTGAAAAACTGGAAACAATTAAGTGTCTACCAATAGGATACTAGTTAAATATCTTGTGGTATAGCCACACAAAGGATTTCTATGAAGCTAGAAAACTAGTGATGTAAACATCTGTAGCCTAATATGAATAAATAGGGGAAAATACAAGTTGTAGACTACAAATATAATAAGATCAGATTCTGTGTAAAATTTTAAAAATACATACTCATATGTAAGCCTATATATATATAAAATGCCTAAAAGAAGAGGCAATTAAAACATTCATTGTTGTTACTTGTGAGATATGAAATGGGAGGAAAACATTTACTTTTTACTTTATAGCTACCTTTATATATTCTTTTACAAAGAACATTCATTATTTTATTATTATATAGAACAGGAAGAAATGAAACCATTTTTGTTTGCGGATGATATCATTGTTTACATAGGAAAAAAAACCTCCTAAAATGAATAAGTGATTATAGCAAGTAAGTATTACCTTAAAGGATTACAGTTAATATTCAAGTCAATGACTTTCCTAATATAATAGCAATGAACAACTGAAATTTGAAATTAAAAACACAATGCCATTTACATTAGCACCTTAAAAATAAAATGTTTAAGTATAAATTAATATATACAAGATCTATATGAAAAACACTACAGAACTCATCAAGAAAATCATAGAAAACTCAATGAATGGAGAGACATTTCATGTTTATGGAAAAGAACCCTCTAAATTGTTAAGATGTTAGTTTTTCCCAACTTGATCTATTGACTCGTTGCAATCCCATTGAAATTTCAGCAAGCTATTCATGCATATTGAAAAACTGTTTCTACAGTATATGGGAAGAGGCAGAAGACCAAGAGTAGCCTAAAATACTAATGGAGAAGAACAAAGTCAGAAGACTTACACTACCTGACTTCGAGACTTACTGTCAAGCTACAACAACCAAGAAGGCATAGCATGGACAAAATAATAAATAATTATTTCAATGGAACAGGACAGAGAGCTCAGAAATTGAGCTACACAAATATAGTCAACTGATCTTCAACAAAAAAGCAAAAGCAATACAATAAAGAGAAGATAGTCTTTTCAACAAATGTTGGTGAACACCTGGATATTACATGTAAAAAAATAAATATAGACACAGACCTTACACTATACACAAAAATTAACTCAAAATAGATTATATTTTGGACCTAATGGACCTAGACATAAAATGCAAAACTGTAAAACTCTTAGATGATACAGAAGAAATGCAAATGACCTTGGATTTGACAATGACTTCTTAGATAAAATACCAAAGAAATTACTGATAAATGAAACTTCATTAAAATTAAAAGCTTATGCTCTATGAAAGACACTGTACAAAGAATTAGAAGATGGGCAGCAAATTGGGAGAAAATGTTTGCAAAAGACATATCTCATAAAGGACTATAACCCAAAATACACAAAAAAATCTTAAAATTTAACAATAAGAAAACCAACAACAATATTTAAAAATAGAAGATATGAATGGATCTCACCAAACAACATACACAGGTGGCAAATAAGCATGTGAAAAGCTGCTCAACATCATGTGTCATTAGGAACTTGCAAATTAAAAGAAAAATGAGATATCACTACATACCTATTAGAAGGGCAAAAATCCAGAAACTGAGATCACCAAATGCTGGTGAGGATGTGGAGCAACAGGAATTCTCCACACTTCATCTTAGCCAAAAGGCCAAGAAGTGATAGCAGCAGGAACTCTTATTCACTGCTAGTAGGAATGAAAGTGGTACAGCTACTTTGGAAGACAGTTTGGCAGTTTCTTACAAAAATTTTATATATGATCCAGCAAGTATACTTCCTTGATACCTATGCAAATGAATTGAATACTTAGTTCACACAAATCCTTCACGTGGATGTTTCTACCTTCTTTATGCATAATTGCCAAGACTTAGAATAAACCAATATGTCCATCAGTAGGTGAATGGATAAATAAACTGTGGTATACCCATACAATGAATAACTATGGTTATTCAACACTATATGAAAAGACATGGAGGAAACTCAAATGCCTGTGAGTAGAAGAAATCAATCAGAAAAGGTTACATACTGCATGAGTCCAACTGATGCAGGACAAGCAAGCCCCAGTATTAAGTCTTAGCCAGGGAAGGTTTTTGGCTTCACCCAGAAAAGAATTCAAGGGTGGGCTGGGTGGTATTAAATAACAACTTTTATTGACATGGCAGAAGTACTGTTCCTTGTGGAGCAGGGTTACCCCATAGGCAGTGGTGTGCAGGGTAGCAGCTCAGAGGCAGGTTTGCACTCATATTCAACCCCACTTTTAATTATATGCAAATTAATGGTAGATTATGCAGAAATCTATAAAATGAGGGTGGTAACTTCTGGGTTGATGGGTTGTTGCAATGGAAAGGGGGCAGTAACTTCTGGGTGTTGTCATGGCAGTGGTAAACTGACATGGCACACTGGTGAGCCTGTGTTATGGGGAGGTGCTTCTGCCCAGACCTGTTTTAGCTAGTCCTTAATTTGGTCCAATGTCTAAGCCCACCTCCAGAGTTGAGTTCCCCTTCCTACCTCACAACAATATGACATTCTGGGAAAGGCAAAACAATGGAGTCAGTAAAAAGATTAGTGGTTACCAGGAGTTCTGGGGAGGGGTAGGTGAATAAGCTGAGCCTAAAGGAATTTTAGAGTAGTGGAACTATTCTGTATGATACAATAATGGTGGATGTATGTCATTATATGCTTGGCAAAACCTACAGAATGTATGACACCAAGAGTAGACCTCATGTAAACTGTGGACTTTGGGTGATGATGTGTCAGTGTAGGTTCAGTGATGTAATAAATCTACCACTGTGCTACACTATGCTGATAAGTGGGGGAGGTGGTGTGGGAGAAGGGGGTACATGGGAACTCCCTTTACTTTCTGCTCAATTTCGCTGTGAACCTAAAACTGCTCTAAAAATTAAAAGTCTATTAAAATTAAAGTCTAAATAAAGCCTATTAAAAATAAATATATATATTTAACAATGCTGCACCTCTTATTTTATTTGCAAGAAAAAGTAATAGGCCTTGGGGAATATAAAAATATACTAACAAGATTTGAACTAAAACTTTTGCATAACTGAAAAATGATTATCAAGATTCAGTAAGCTTGGCCAATGACATGATTCTTCTATTTGGACCCCTGTATTATTTAATCTTATAATTTTGGTGACCATTAATGGTGGTTATTAATGCAGGATATGCAGGTCATACAATGGCCATTAAAACCAAATATCAAAATAAACTGAATTTTGAGCCAGATCTTAAAATTGTTACATTTTCATAAACCATGATTTCCAAAAGGAATAAAGCCTATTTGAATAGGCACATTTAAATAAAATAAGATGCACGCTTAATTTAAAAATGAATGACATACATTTTGGGGGTATTTGGGGCATGCATTTTTAACCCTTTTTGGGAGTGTGTGATCAAAAAATTTGTGAGCTATTGATTCAGAGGGCCAGACGCACTAGTAACTAAATAGTCTTATTGTCGAGATCAATGACAAAGACATGAACTAAGGGGCATTTGGAGCCCAGCAAAGGGTCATTTCTTGTTTTTGCTCTGGGAGACATCAGCAGCATTAACATAGAGCTTTTATTTACTTTTATTTTAAATACAAAATGTTCATGGGCCATCAGGAAAGCACGTTTGCCTAACAATTTGAAAATGCCCACATTTTGGAATTGAGGTCTTTTTCCTGTATATAATGTTCTTTACTTTTTGCAACATGTGGTTAATGCAAAAATAATATTTACCTAAGGGACAAAAATTCTTTCAGCTATGCCTTCTTGGCTGGTCCCTTACCCAGCCTTTAAAATTTATTCCTGTCTCCCACTTTCTGTTTATTTCCCCCAGAAACAAAAGGAAAATCTTTGCCATCCATCTGTATAAGGGGCCCCTGATAACACATTAGGCAGTCACTCTCTTAGGGAGAGGAGAGGACAATAAACTAGAAAATAGAATTGCCATGTGGAATAGTGCTGATGCATCTTTTCCTTACATTTTGCAAAGGTTGTAAGGTACTAAAATCGTGGATTTTTAGCCCAGGGAGAAATCATCTAATCTAGTCTCCTTATTTTAAAGATGAGGAAATTTAGTCTCAGAGAGTTTTAGTGGCTTAGCCATAGAACCATCAGTTTGATGTAGCTCATGGATTATAGTCTAACACTTTCACTTACAACTGGGGACACTCAAGCTCAACAAATTAAGGGACTTTTCTAAGATTACACAGCCAGATGGGGGGTTTAAGAGGAGACCCCGGTGTTTGGACACTCAGAACCCTGTGCTGGACTGACAGCCCCTTAATGAGGTAAGATAGTTCTGTCAAAAGAAATGAGGGCTGAGAAGAAGTAGAATGGTGAGATCCATCAGGTCATGAAGTCTCAGTTCGCATTTCCTCATTGTATGAAAAAGAATTTGGCTGGCCTTTATCTCACCGTACCTGGGAGGGAACCTCTAGGCCCTTGAAATTTCCCCAGTGATAGCAGTGTCCGTTACTCATGGTGGGCCCTTCAGACTACATCTGATACTTTTTGCTAAGAGGTCCTGTTCCTGTCTTATGTCTCTTAACATAATGTCCTTCAGTTCTATCCATGTTGCAGTGAGTGACAGGATTTCAGTCTTTTTTATGGCTGAGAGTATTCTTTTTTTTTTTTTTTTCCCAGTTGGAGTGTTGCTCTGTTGCCCAGGCTGGAGTACAGTGGTGCGATCTTAGCTCACTGCAACCTCTGCCTCCCGGGTTCAAGTGATTCTCCTGCCTCAGCCTCCTGAGGAACTGGGACTCCAGGCGCCCACCACCACGCCCGGCTAATTTTTGTATTCTTAGTAGAGACAGGGTTTCACCATGTTGGCCAGGCTGGTCTGGAACTCCTGACCTCGTGATCCGCCCGTCTCAGCCTCCCAAAGTGCTGGGATTACAGGCGTGAGCCTCTGCGCCTGCTATGGCTGATAGTATTCTATTGTCTTTATCCATTGTCTTTATCCATTCCTCCATTGTTGGACACTGAGGTTGGACACTTTGGTTATTGTGAATAAAGCTGCAATAAACATGGGGGAACAGATGTCTCTTTGATATACTTATTTCCTGTCCTTTGAATAAATACCCAGTAGTGGGATTGCTGGGTCATATGGTAGTTCTATTTGTAGTTTTTTGTGGAACCTCCATGGTATTCCCCATAGATAAATGTTTGAGATGATGGATATGCCAATCTTGATCTGATCGCTGTGAATTTTTTGTATGACAACATCACTATGCACCCCATAAATATTTACAATTATTACATGTCCATTAAAAAAATTTTTTTTTCAGTTCCAGTGAGCTGCCCTGTTTGGCAGTTTTCCACACTATAGTGAGAAGGTTACATCTTTGGGGATGACAGAAGCTTCAGGTGGGGAACTTTCCCAGACCTCACCCTATGCTTCTCCCTTTGGCTGGTTTTGATTTTTATCTTTTGGCTAAAGTAACATTGTAATAATAAGTACAGTACTTTCCTGAGTTCTATGAGTCATTCTACTGACATTACATCTGAAGAGGTAGTGGGAGCCTCTGAGTTTGCAGCCAGCTGGTGAGAAAGGAGTGTGACTTGGGAGCTCTGGGACCTGTGGCTGCTGTCCAAAGTGAGGACAGTTTTGTGGAGGGCAGTGCAGGTAACCTGCAAAGTTTGCTTAACCTTGCATATTTGACTTTAGAAGTCATTGGACTCGTGTTCCTAAGATTCTAAAACTTTGGGGAGTAAGGACAGAAATGAGTTTGAAAATACAAAGGTTAAAACCGTGAGATATTTTGCTTTACTTTCTCCACAGAAACTCATTTTCTCTAAACTCCAGCCTTTACCGCCTCACGCCAGCTGCACTCACAACAGTTTCCCAAGGCTCCCAGCCATGACCTGTTCTTTGAAACATCCCAGTGCAGAACATAACACAGACTTGTTTTGTTTTGTTTTCTGCTGGGGCAGAAATTGGGCAAGATTGATTATTTAGAAAGCAAGATAAAAATCTTTTAGTAACTTCTCTCACGTAGGCAAAAAAGCAAGCCAGCCAGCAAGCAAGCAAGCAAGAAAAAAAAAATCACCTAATTTCTTATCTTCGGTAACTGCTGGTTTGCTTTTTGCCAGACAAATTCAGGGATTACTTGAACGCTGGGTTGAGTTCACAGCCAGGTTGTCTGGCACTCCCCTCTTCAGGAAATCAGTCTCGTCCTGCTTTAATTACCTCTTTGGAACAGGCAATTTTTGTGCCCAGGCATGAATTCTGGAAGACAGAGAGAATGGAATCACTCAAGATAAGCCGAACTAGGATGTTGAAGGCAGGAAAGTGCAGGCGTGTAGCAAGAACCAAGTTTTACAGGAAACTAAAGGTTAATATTATTGTCACTGTTATTAGTTTTGTTTTACTTTGTTTTGTTTTACTTTGTTTTGTTTTATTGTGTTGGATTTTTTTTTTTTTTGAGACAGAGTCTCACTCTTGTTGCCCAGGCTGGAGTGAAGTGGCATACTCTCGGCTCACTGCAACCTCCGCCTCCTGGGTTCAAGCAATTCTTGTGCCTCAGCCTCCTGAGTATCTGGGATTACAAGCACGCGCCACACACCCAGCTAATTTTTGTATTGCTAGTAGAGACGGGGTTTTACCATGTTGGCCAGGCTGGTTTGGAACTCCGGACCTGAGGTGATCCACCCGCCTGCCAAAGTGCTGGGATTATAGGCGTGAGCCACTGTGGTTTTTTTTTGTTTTTTTTTTTCTAACTTTAGATGGGAGTCTTGTCATCAAAAATAAATACAATTGCGTGGAGCTGCTTAAAATCTGAAAACCAAAAATAGGAAGGCAGGGGCTAAAAAGTTATTTTAAGAACCCCCCCACCCCCTCCGCCTCCCTGCCGCCTCCCAATCACAGTCACTCCTGGGGCTCAGCGGGGAGCAGGAAGCACGTTTGGTTATGCCATCTTGGAATAAGAAGCCATGGCTGGATGGATCGGATCCGCTTATGATGCATGTAGAGCCGAACTTGAACATGACACCAGCTGGGGGAGGGGGGAAGAGGGGGAGGGGGGGTTGCTGGGGAGGCGCCGCACTCATTGCTGCTGCTCCTTCGTTCTGTAGAGGGCACTGCCGGCCCTGAACCACTCGATCTCCGTCTCGTTGAAGGTGTGGTTCAGGAGGTTGATTTCCTGGGGTGCTTGACGATGTACTTCAGGGGCTTGCCAGCGTCAAGTCCTTCAGGCTCTGAATGGTCAGCTTGTCCACAAGGTGAATCTTGTTGTCAGCTGGGTCAGCGAAGGTCAGGGGCAGCAGGCCCTGCCTCCTCAGGTTGGTCTCGTGAATCCTGGCAAAGCTCTTGGTGATGATGGCCCGGCCCCCTGAGGTGGCGAGGCTCCAGCGCGGCGTGCTCCCAGCTTGAGCCCTTGCCATAGTTCTAGTCCCCAATCACCACCCAACTGATGCCATATTTCTTGTAGCGGGCAGTGTCAGGGAAGGGGCCAAACTCGTGGGTGACAGCATCGTGCACAGAGTTGGCCTTGCCATTTTCAATGTTGATGGCACCACTGAGCAAGTTGTTGGAGATGGTGTCCAAGTGCCCACGGAACTTGAGTCAGGGGCCGGCAGCTGAGATGTGGTCAGTGGTACCCCATGCGGGGGTGCTGGTAGGTGTCCTGCCCTGGGCCAAACTCTGCTTGGGGAAGCTCATCTGCATCCGGAGCCTCCAGCTTGAACTTCTTGCCATCCTTGCCTGTCAGGTAGTTGGTCTCTGGGTTGAACTTGAGGGTTCCCACAATGGCCAGGGCTGTGACAGTCTCTGGGGATGTGATGAAGGCATGGGTCTCGGGGTTCGTGTCATTGTGGCCCATGAAGTTCCTGTTGTAGGAGGTGACAATTATGTTCTTCTCCTGCTTGTTGATGTCCTTTCTGTGCAACTGACCAATGCAGGGGCCACAAGCATTGGCCAGGACGATGCCACCCACATCCCTCAAGGTCTGTGCATAGCCATCCTGCTCAATGGAGGCACGGATCTGCTCGGAGCATGGAGTAATAGTGAACTGGGACTTGCACTTGAGGCCATGGGCCAGTGCCTGCTTGGCCACACCTGCTGAGCACCCCATATCTTCATAGCTTGAATTGGTGCAGCTGCCCCACAGACCCACTCAGATGTCCAGAGGCCATTCTTCCTTCTCTGCCACCTTGCCCACTTCTGCCACAGGGTGAGCCAGGTCAGGGGTGAAGGGCCCATTGATGTGCAGCTTCAGTTCACTGGGGTTAACTTCAATTAGTTGGTCATAATGGCACCCAGGGTCAGGCACCAAGTGATCTTTGAATTCATCAGCTAGATTGGCAATGTCTGCCTGGCAGGTCTTGCTCATGTACTTCTTCATCCTGAGGTTGTAATGGAACACGGAAGTGGTGGTCCCAATTTCTAAGCCCATGTTGCAGACTGTCACCATGCCAGTGCAGGAGATGGAGTCTACAACAGGCCCGTGGTATTCCACGATTGCACCTGTGCCACCTTTCATGGTGAGGATGCCTGCCACCTTCAGGATCACATCTTTGGGTGAGGTCCAACCAGAGAGGGAGCCCATCAGCTTCACGCCAATCACCTTGGGGCACTTCAGCTCCCAGGGGATCCCAGTCATGACATCCACAGCTCGGCACCCCCAACTCCAATGCAGATGCCCCCCAGGCTGCCACCATTGGGGGTGTGGGAGTCAGTGCCAATCAGAAGAACCCCAGGATATTCATAGTTTTCCAGAATAATCTGGTGAATGATTCCAGATCCAGGCTTCCAGAAGCTCAAGCCATATTTGACACTTCCAGTTGCCAGGAAATTATAAACTTCGTGGTTGATGTCCTTGGCCTGGTGCAGGTCTTTCTCACTCCCGAGCTGGGCCTCAATCAGATGGTCACAGTGGATGGTGGATGGCATGGTCACCTTGGGAGCCTGCTGCTGATGAACTGCAGCATGGCCATCTGGGCCGTCCATCCTGCATGGTCACGCTGTCCGGCCACTGCTGCAGGTACGTCCCGCCCCGCTCAATTTCCTGGCTGGTGGGGTCATCCGGGTGTCTGTACACGATCTTCTCTGAGAGGGTCAGAGGCCGGTTCAATCATTTGCAAACAATGTTAATGTTCTTCTCTAGCAGGTCATAGTGGATGTACTTAGGCTCAAAGGGTCTCATCGCCACCTTGGCCCGTTGGCACAGGACTGATGCCACATGGTACTGCCGCACACCCAGAGCTTTCTGCAGCCAAGTAACCAGTAGGCTGTAGGGCACCATTTTGTGCAAAGATCGGGTCACATTGACAAAGACGGGTCACGTCTGTGTTTGTTTTAAAAGAGAATATATTGTATCTACAAGGTCTGGAAAATGCAGTAAGAAAATGGGGTGAAGATGCTTCCAGCATCTGGAAGAGGGTAAATCTCTGGAATCAGGCACTCAGCCAGCACTCACTCTGACTTCATCACCTCTTTCAGCTGGATTTGCTGAGCTCTTCCCTGGCAGGCCAAACCCATGAAAGCAGACGGCGCCTTGGGAGCTTGATCTCGTCCAACTGTCAGGGCATGGGAGTCATTCTGCCATTCTTGTCTCACAGCAGGAGTACCTGAAGAGAACCCTGGCCCTTTTGGGGAGGGGGGTTAACTAGGCTTGTTCTTACAGAAAATAATGGGCTGATAGGGGAGATTCTCTTCTTCTTCACAATTTATGTCAGATGTAACCCTATACTCTCTGAAAGATAACAGGTTTGGTAATTAGAGATGAAGGAATTTAATTAATTTCTAAAAGTATTTATGGAACAGGTACTATATATCTGACAGTGAGCTGAGAATACAGAACAGAGGGGAGAATAAGACATTGCTAGCAGAGTGATAGTCAAGCAGGTGAATAATTATCATCTCATATGATAAGAGCTATAGTAGAGACATGTGCAGGTACCATGGGGGTAGAGGTGAATGTCCGATTCCACAGAACAGAGACAATGGAGAAAGAAGAGAAGAAAGCATCTGGACTGGAGATAATCTGACAACGTGGAAAGGGCAGGGTTTTTAAAGTCCATCAGATTAACTGCAAATCCCTTTATCCAACTCTGTGTCCCTGGGAAAATCACTTAACCTTTCTGAGTCCCTATTTAATCAATATGATAGAAAGAGTATACTCACATCATAAGATTATGATGAGGATTAGATGAGATCTTTTAGACTACTCATCTAGAGCACTGCCAGGCCCATGGTCACTCCCCAGCAAATGACAGCTCAGTGGCTATAATTAATGTCAAATTGGATTTTGTCATTTCAGTGGGGAAATGGAGCTGTGGGCTCCATTGAGTGGGATGTAAAGAAGCAAGAGATGACTCATCTCTCATTTGAACAATCAGGCAGATACTGAGGACAAGCACAATTAGGTTTGGAGAACAAAGGGGGAACATCAGTGTGGTTTGGAATCAGTTGCAGTTAACATGCTGTGGGATGTCACAGTAATCACGAAGGAGGAAAAGGAAGGAGGTGTCAGTTGGACTGCCCCAAGGCAACCCTTGAGCCATCAGGACAGCTCAACACCTCCTCTGTTTTCTTCTTTGTACTTCCTGTTAGTCAGGCAGAGGACCATTCCTTCCCATGATTCAGACTGTATCCCGCCTCATCTCCCTGAACTTTTTGAGGACAGCTATAGGCAGGTACAAGCCCTGATTGGACTCATTACCTCAATCATTCTTTTAATTCGATATCTATATTGAATTACCTACTTTATGCCAAGAGCTGACCTAGGACCTGAAGGAACAATTGAATGGAATAGTTGAGTTCCCTGCTCAATAATCTTAAATGTACTTGCATGTATTTGAATATTAGGCATCTCTATGACCTTCCTTACGTGCAGACAGTTTAATTTGAATAGAGGAGGGCATTTTTCCCTCTCATATCAATTCTAGATACCTTTATGGCAACAAGAAAAGAAAAAACCATCCTGAAATGTTTCTTAGAAATATATAGTCCAATATTCCTAATTCAATAGATATTTATTGGGTGTGTATTATAACCATACACCCTTATCTTTATCTTTCAGATGAATAAAAGAATCCTAAGGGAGGTAGTATGGCCTAAATGTTTGTGTCCTCCCAAAATTTCAGTGTCTAAGCCCTAACCCCTGGTGGGGTTATATTTGAAGATAGGTCTTCTAAGAAAGTAATTAAGGTTAAATGAGGTCATAATGATGGGGCCCTGATCCGTTTGGATTAGCATCCCATTTCCAAGTAGACACACCAGAAATCTTGCTTCTTTGCTCTTTCTCTGAATGTGTGCACTGAGGAAAGGCCATATGAGCATGGAGCAAGAAGCCAGCCATCCCCCAGCCACAAAAACAGCTCTCACCAAGAACTGAATTGGCTGGCACCTTGATCTGGACTTCCCAGCCTCTGCAACTCTGAGAAACTACATTTCTGTTTAAGCCACCTGGCATATGATATGGCAGTCAGAGCTGACTAAGACTGAAGGGCCACTGTATCAGTTAGCTATTGCTATATAACAAACCACTCCACAACTCAACCACTTAGACATGAATCATTTATGATTCATAACAAATCTGCAGGATTGGTGGCTCACTCCTGTAATCCCAGCACTTTGGGAGGCTGAGGCAGGTGGGTCACCTGAGGTCAGGAGTTCGAGACCAGCCTGACCAACATGGGAAACCACGTCTCTACTAAAAATACAAAAATTAGCCGGGCATGGTGGTGCATGCCTGTAGTCCCAGCTACTCGGGAGGCTGAGGCAGGAGAATCGCTTGAACCTGGGAGGCAGAAGTTGCAGTGAGCCGAGATCACACCACTGCGCCCCAGCCTGGGCAACAAGAGTGAAACTCCATCAAAGGAAGGAAGGAAGGGGGAGGGGAGGGGAGGGGGGGGAGGGAGGGAGGGAGGGGGAGAGAGAGAGAGAGAGAAAGAAAGAAAGAAAGACTGCATGTTTGTCAGGGGTTGGCTGATCTAGGCTGGTTTCCACTGTGGTTAGTTTACTTTATGTGTCTCTCATCCTTTTGCTGGGATCATCAGGGAAAGTCCTTCTCATGGTGATAGCACAGTTAAGGGAACAATGAAAACATGCACATGGTCTTGGAGCTGGCATGTGTTTACTTCTGTCTCATTCTATTGGACAAAGCAAATCTTTTAACTGGAACGTGGTTACTTTTGCCTCATTTTATTGGCTAACGTAGGTCAAACAGATGAGCCCAGGATCAGAACAGGAACATGCTGTCAAGTTTAAGGACAAAGGTGTGAATACATGGAAGGGAAGAAAATTGGGATCATTAAGGCAATCTAACACATCCAGGATTCAAATGCAGGTCTCCCTTGGGCCCTGGCTAGGGTTATTTTCACCATGACAAATTACTTTTTTGTTTTAATGTGAAACACATACACAGACATGATTGCTCTTAGCCATCTGAAGTACTGAGCCTGAGCGAAGCAGAAGATAGGCAAGGTGGCTATCACAGCCAACCCTTCCAGTGTGCTTTACTCCCCTAAATCTCCCTTATACCCTTATACATATTGTCCATTCTCCATGCCGCAGGCTATCGCCCCTACACCATGACTAAGGTCATCCTATACTTCAAAACTTGGGGTCCTGAGTTTTCATAGTCTTCTTCCAATTTCATCAAAACCTGCTCTCAGGAGGCTTTGCTATAAGAAAAAAAAGCTGATCCCTGAATTCTGGTAACTTTTACTAAAACAAATAGCTACTGAGTATTTAATCTATATGTGGCTCTGTGCCTGGTGTTGGGCTGCTGGTATTAGAAATGAATCATAGAACTAATTGTTAAGGAGCATACACTCCAGAAGGAGAAATAATGCATGCACATAATTAATTGTTTTTATTCCCTGTGCAAAAAAAAATTGAATATAGTGCCAAGCATTATCCTAGAAAGGTGGATTACAGTGATAAATCAGACAGAGCCACAGGCCCTACTCTGGCAGAGTTTAGAGTTTACTAAGGACCCGAGGTAGATCAGAGAATACCAGGAAAAGATGACATTTCTGTGAGTTGAGAAGAACTAGGTGAGAAATCAGAGAAGGGTATGGGGTGTAGGACAGGTAACAATTAAGTGGGTTCATGAAACACATACTGGGTTGTTTATAAGCAGTATCAGTCTTCTCGGAATGTGGTTAATAGAATCGTCGCTGGAGTTAATGGCTGAGTTTGAGTCTTTGTCTTAACACTCAGAGGGAAGGCCATGGACAAGTTACTTAATTTCTCTGCTCAGTAGTGTGCTAGTAAATGTTTAAAACCAGTTTTCCAAAAAGAGGGAGAAAAGGAGATGGGGAAGAAGGAAGGAAGCAAGGAAGCAAGGAAGGGAGGGAGGGAGGGAGGGAGGGAGGGACAAAGGGAGGGAGGGAGGGATGGAGGGAAACCAAGCTAGCTCTGCCTAGTAGCATCTTCTATTTTCCATGATGTAAATACTTTCACTATGGCCTACTTTAAAATACCAACATGGTATCAGTGAGAAGTGATGTGCAGTAGCATACCATTTTCTAGTATTTTTACCACACAGACACAGTTAACATAAATATCCTCAAAAGCATACGTAATAGTGAAATGTAGTAAAATAACTAGAAAGTTATGAGTTTTGAATACTTGGTTCCGTTTTAAATATAATTCATTTAATTGAAAGTTTATATAACTTAATTTGTAACAAGAGCTGCACTTAACAACCAACCCACAAAATTTCTAAAACTCCGTCAGCTTGCTTTGGCTCTTGCAACTCAGTGTGAGCCATCACCAGGACAGCATAGATTCTGTGTCTCAATGTCTCATTTATAAAAAGAATTATATTTATTTATAAATAGCTCCATAGGTTTCCCTTTTTTTTTGGAGATAGAATCTCGCTCTGTCACCAGGCTGGAGTGCAGTGGCGCGATCTCGGCTCACTGCAACCTCCGCCTCCTGGGTTCAAGCGATTCTCCTGCCTCAGCCTCCCAAGTAGCTGGGACTACAGGCATGCACCACCATGCCCATGCCCAGCTAATTTTTGTATTTTTAGTAGAACGGGGTTTCACCCTGTTGGCCAGGATGGTCTTGATCTCTCGACCTCGTGATCTGCCTGCCTCAGCCTCCCAAAGTGTTGGGATTACAGGCGTGAGCCACCACGCCCAGCCCATGGGCTTCTTTTAAGGATTAAATAAGATGGTTCATAGAAGACATTCTGCATCTAGAAAATCATAAACACTCAGTAAATGTTGGCTATCATCATTATTTTTGCTATCATTGAGTTTATTTATATGTAAAGTATGAATAGTATGAATACCAGGAAGGATTCATGGATGAGTGGGGCACTTGGAGATGAGACCAGCCTTGTGAGAATCTGGTCAGTAGCCATAGCCTACCATTGATAGTACAAATGCACATTATCCCCAGATATGAGCCTGTTCGTCACTGTAGCCTTAGGACATGGCAATTGCACACACTGGCACATGAGTTCTTCTGTGCGGAATTGGGCATGTGGCTGAACCTAAGCTGGGGATAACCCATTCTGCACACTCAGACTGGAGATCGCCTCCTGGCTCCCTTCTGTCCTAGTACTGCTCATATATCTGGTTTCTTGCTCTCTCAGAGCCATGGGCACCCCAGAACTCTGCCACCTTTTTCTTTCTTCTGTCCCATGGACTCTCCGGGAACAGAGGGCTCAGGAATAAAGCTGACATTTAACTGTAAGTACTGCCTTTACCAGACATCTTTTTTTTATTATTATACTTTAAGTTCTAGGGTACATGTGCACAATGTGCAGTTTTGTTACATAGGTATACATGTGCCATGTTGGTTTGCTGCACCCATCAACTCGTCATTTACATTAGGTATTTCTCCTAACGCTATCTCTCCCCCAGCCCCCCAACAGGCCCCGGTGTGTGATGTTCCTCTCCCTGTCTCCATGTGTATTCTCATTGTTCAACTCTCATTTATGAGTGAGAACATGCAGTGTTTGGTTTTCTGTTCTTGTGTTAGTTTGCTGAGAATGATGGTTTCCAGCTTCATCCATGTCCCTGCAAAGGACATGAACTCATCCTTTTTAATGGCTGCATAGTATTCCATGGTATATATGTGACACATTTTCTTTATCCAGTCTATCACTGATGGGCCTTTGGGTTGGTTCCAAATCTTTGCTATTGTGAATAGTGCCGCAATAAATAGGCGCGTGCACGTGGTACCAGGCATTTTTCTAAACACTTTACATAGATTCAGTCATTTGTTCTTCACAAAATTGGATGAGGCAGGCACAAGTATCATCTCCATTTTATGGATAACAAAGACATGTCCAAAATCAGTCCTCAAGTGAGTGAAAGAGCTAGAATTTGCACCTCACTGTTGGTTTCAATACCCACACCCTTCCTTCCCTACAGAGCTCCACTGTTGCCGAGCTACTGTGCTTCTCATCGCATGCTTTCATCATAGACAGCAGCAGCATCGAAGCCAAGAAGATAATTATTTTATGGTTTGGGATTTTAATATATTTTTGGCAGCAAAGCAACTTGACTCTCTTAATTGTGCTTTGCTTCATCTTGAATTAAAATAATTACATTGAATTCTGTGACAAACAATAGAATGCTAGTAGTCATTCTTCCAACCAACATTTTTTAAGTGTCTTCTATGTGCTGTCTGGTATTGCTGTGTGCACTTGTAATGCAGAAGAATGAGATAAGGCAGAGTTGCCCAAGAGGTATGCAGTGTAGTGCAGTGGTAGAAAAAATACTAGGGGCTATGTTTGAAGAAGGTGAAAGGTTCAATTTTCTCATTCAAACATTTGGATACTTTTATAAGGACCTAAAGACATAATTACAGGACACTGTAATAAGTGTAGTAACCAAGGTTGGTGCAGGCAGAGAAAGAGAGGAGAGGAAAGGGCATTTCACACAGAGGGAAAAACATGTATAAAGGGAACAGTCAAAACAGTATTTTTAAGAATAATTCCAGAAGTGGAAAAGCAAAACATCTAACAGAGAGGAGTCTTGGCTCCTAAGGGTGCAGGGTATAGGTAAAAACAGGGGAAAATTAAAATTGAGCATGATGCAAGTTACAGAAGCATATCAGGGGTGTGAGAGTGGTGGATCACTGGGTCCTCCCCTCTGGGTTTATAGGTGGCAGAACTGAGATGGAAGAGTCTGATGTCACGGTTCTCATAGAGACGACATTCAGACCCAGCTCTTCACGTTTGCCATTTCAAAGAACATTTTGTTATCTTCTAATGTAGAGAGAAAGGGGACTCAGATTGCTGAGTAATAGGGAATCTGGAATGCATTTGAGATGTGAATTCTATTGGCGATGACAGAGTCTCATTTGGATAAACAATTGCTCAGATTGTTTAGGGAATCGCATTGATTTCCTAAACAAAATAAGTAAGTGCTCCAACTGTGTACATATAGAAGACATCCAAAGAGGAAGGGGCAGAAGCCTGATACATTTAGAGAGGACCTGCTGGTAGGAACACAGCAAGTCACTGGCAGGGTTGGGATTCGAGTCTTTGTTTCTAGGCTCTCAACCTAGGACTTGTTACCCAGGATCAAAAGTCCTGATCATCTCTTTGCAGCAGAAAGTGCTCCTTGGTCTATAAACTATCCCATAAGTTATTCTTAAAGAAAGAATGATCTACAAAACAAATTACTTCCTCTTTAAAACTTCCTGCATGATAAAAATTAGAAATAGCAAGAGTCCAGCATTGCAGCTGCAAATGAGAAAATAATGGGCAGTGGTATTTGCTTACAGGCTGTGATCATGCACATCTCTAAGCCTCACTTATGCCCCGTCTCCTGCCCAGAATTGCTCCCCTTTTCCTTCATATCTACCTAAAATACACCAATCCACCAAGCACTGGGTCAAACCACACTTCCTCCATGGCAACACTCCTAATATCTGCAGCCTGCAAAGATCATTTCCACTTTCTGCCTTCCCAGAGCATGAATGGGAAATTGACTGTAAGAAAGTCAGGAGCCAAGTCTGTAGTCACTTGTGTTTTTCCCTAATTGTTTTCTGTGGAAATGTCTTATCATCATGACAGAAGAACATGCTCCTCAAGGATAAAACGACATGTCTTCTCTTTATTGTGTTCCCTAATGATAGTTAATATATGGAGCAGTGCTTAGAAAATAAATGCTCATTATGCTCATTCAGTAAACATCGCATAGCTTATGCTAGAATATACAGGTGAGAGATGAACAGGAAACTATCCCTACCATCAAAAAGCTGCCACTCTCCTGGGAATACCGATGTTTAAAGAAATGAAGCAGAGTCCTATTCAGAATAAATTTGTACCCCTTATTTCACCAAAGAAGGTACCGGAACACAACATAGACTTGCTGAGGTCTATGAGTTAAAGAGTAAAGACTCAGAGTTCAAACAAAGCCGGGGGGAACATCAGGGCATTCTGAGGTTACTGCAGGTGGTCTCTCTTGTCCGGGACAAAGAGTCTGTGGGAGCTGTCCTCAGAAGGGTGTCTGACCCTTTGTGTTTTGAGGTCCTAAAATAAGACCCGCCTGAGCCTGAGAAGAGGACCAAGAGAAAAGGAGAACTAACATTCTAGGGCCACAGTAGGACTCAACATGCTGTCCTGACCTGGAGCCAGCCCAAAGACACATTCTTTCTTAGCGTGTGATTGCACAGGTGGATTGAGGGACATGTTTTCCAAGCTCATGGCAGTACCTTGAATAGATGGCCCATCTTCAGCAACTGTGCCCCAGCCCTACCTTCAAGGAGTCTTCAGGCAGCTTCCACTTCTGCATACCAGAAGGTGATGCATGCCAGCACCCTCTCCACTCCTCAGACACAGCTCACCCAGGCTGGCTTCTATTCACTGCCAGCACCCTTCCCTGTGGGGCAGAAGAGAACAGAAAGGACCAACCTGGACTTACTCTAGATGCTTGCTCATTTAATATGGGACCCCTTGGTGCCACTAGGGATGAGCCAGCTGAAGGATGTTACCACTAGGAGCATAGGGAAGGTCTGAACCTCTGTAGGTTGAGGACACCCTAAGAGGCATTAGTTATGCCCAGCTCCATCCTCACCTGCACATGAATGTTGGAAAGAATACTTGGTTATACAGTAGGAGAGAGCATTTAAAAATCAAATTTATTGAGGTAGAATTTAGGTACAATAAATGAGTGCATCTATTTTAAGTGAACAGTGTGAAGCATTTTGTTATATGTATCCACCCATATAACTAGTGAGGGCATAGAATATTCCCGTCACCCTAGAAAGTTCTCTCTTGCCCCCTCTCTGTCAACTCTCCTTGCTTCCCAGCCCAGATACCCACTGATCTGAGGCCTATCACTACAGACAAGTTTTGCCTCTTCTAGAATTTCATATGCATGGAATTATACAGTATGTTCTCTTTTGTGTCCAGCTTCATAGGGTCAGCATAATTGTTTCCAACATTTTATTATGTAATTTTTCAGACATACAGAAAAGTTAAAAAAATTTTACAGTAGAATCCTAACCTAGACTCTATCATTAAGATTTTCCTTCCCTGCTTTATTATATTTCTATGCATTTATCCATCTTCTATTCATCTACCTTATTTTTTGATACATTTCAAAGTAAATTGCAGACACCAGTCAACTTCCTTTTAAATACGTCAGGATGTTTTACTAACTCACTTTCAATTTTAATTAATTTACTAATGCAATATTTGTTATGTATTTTCTTTTAAGGTAAAATTAACATACAATAAAACACAAAAATGTTTAACATATTTTTTTTTGAGTTTTGACAAATACACATACCCATGTTACCAAAACCCCTATCGAAACATACAGTGTTACATCACTCTAGAATTCCCCCATGCCTTTTCCCAAGAAACACCCTTCCCCCCACTGCCAAAGCAACTTCTGATCTTTTTCTACCATAGATTAGTTTATCTGTTCTAGAACTTCATATAAGTGGAAACACCACATGTACGTTCTTTTGTAAGCCTCTTACTTAGCATAATGCCTTTCAGCTTCACCATGTCCTTGTATTATCAATATTTCATTCTTTTTATTGTTGAATAGTATTCCATTATATCAATATACTGCAATGTGTTTATCCTCTTATTGATGGACATCTTGACTATTTCAAGTTCTGGTCGATAAAGCTATAAGTGTTTTTATACAAGTGTTTCTATGAACATATGTTTTGTTTCTTTTTATTAGGGAAATACCTGGGAGGAGAAATTCTAGATCATAGAGTACGTGTGTGGTTAGTTTTATAAGAAACGGCCAGACTTTCTCTGAAGTTTTGGTATCATTTCACACACCCGCCAGAAACTGATAAGAGCTGTACTTGCTCCCTGTAGGAACTAAGTGTATGTTTCTAGGTTTCTTTTCTTTCTTTCTTCCTTCTTTTCCCTCCTTTAGTTATTTATTGTTTTACTTTAGTGATTCCCATTAGTGTTTAGTGATTTCTCACTAGGATTTTGTTGTTGTTGTTGTTGTTGTTTTCTGAGATGGAGTCTTGCTCTGTCTCGCAGGCTGGAGTGCAGTGTCGTGATCTCGGCTTACTGCAACCTCCACCTCCTGGGTTCAAGCAATTCTCCTGCCTCGACCTCCTGAATAGCTGGGACTACAAGCACGTGCCACCACGCCAGGCTAATTTTTGTACTTTTAGTAGAGATGAGATTTCACTATGTTGGCCAGGATGGTCTCAATCTCCTGACCTTGTGATGCACCAGCCTCAGCCTCCCAAAGTGCTGGGATTACAGGCATGAGCCACCGCACCCAGCCCTCACTATGGTTTTAATGTGCATTTCCCTTTATATATGCTTATTGGTCACTCGTATATCTCCTCTGGTGACATGTCTGTTCAAATCTTTTACCTACTTTTTAAATTTCTTTTTGTGTCTTTTTGTTACTGAGATAAATTATTCATATAATTTGGATACAAGTCTTCTGTCTGATGATAGATACATAATATTTAAGTGGCTTACATTTTAAATTTTCTTTTTATCTTTTTGAATTTTGCTGTATATATCTAAGGTATACAACATGATGTTTCGACATACATAGAGATAGTGACGTGGCTACCATAGTCAAGCAAATTAACACATCCATTATCTGACATAGTTACTCCCCTTTTTAAATTCAGTACCTTTTGAAAAGTAGAATTTTAACTTTTTATTACTTTTCTTTTATGGCTAGTGCAGTTTTGATGCACTTTCAGGGAAATCTTTGCCTGCATCAGGCCATGAACATTTTTCTTCTGTGTTTTCTTTTTTTCCAAGAAATTTTACAATTTCAGCATTTACATTTAGGTCTATAATCTATTTTGTTTGTTTTGCGAGGTAGGATTTGAGATGCTATTTGTTTATATGGGTTCTTTAGAAATGATGTAGGAGTGTTATTATTTATACCTTAAATATGTATTAGAATTTACCATTGAAGCCCTCTAGGCCTGGAGTTTTCTTTGGGGGAAGGTTTTAAATTATTCATTCAATATTCTCGGTAGATATAGGCTTTTGAGGTTTTCTATTTTCTCTTTAGTTACTTTTATTAATTTACACATTTCCAAAAGAATTTCAGTCTCATCTAGGCTATAAATTGGAAGCAATTGTTTATAATATTTATATTATTTAATATCTTGTTCTTAAGGTGGTTCCAGCAGACCCAATATACCATGATATATGCCATAACGGGAGAAATGCAGAGCAAATGTGGAAGAGTATAGGGAATGATTTCTTGAAGTGGTATTTAAGCTTAGATTTTAGAGATGAGAAAGAATTTTTAAGGTAAGGAGGCAATGCAGAGAGGGTAGAAAGAGGGAACCGCATGTGCAAAGAACCCGCGGCAAGTGAGAGCCTGACACTGTCAAGGCATCGTCAGTTCAGTGTGGTGGATTTGGTGGAAGATGATGTGAGCTATGAGAGAATTAAACAGGAGCCTTGAAGCCTTGATACCCAAGATTTTCTCAAATTCCCATTTATCTGGTGTTTTGTTTATTATAATTGCCTCTAGCACAAGAATATAAGCGTTGTGAATGCAAGAAGTTTTGCCAATTTTGTTAACCATTATATATATATCCTCAGGACCTAGAACAGCTCCCGCGATGCAGCGGGAATTCAGTACATTTTTGTTGATTGAATGAATCAGTTAATCAATACCCAAATGTGTCCACATTAAACATGTTTTCTATAAAGATTAAAAAAATAATGCAGCTGAGTTAAAAGTCCTAGGAGGTTGCCAGGCTCTCCAGTGTTCAGCCCTCTAGCCCCAGCCTGTCAACCTGGACAATTCACAGCAGTGCATGGATGGCTATAAGGTTTTCTGTTCTGACAGTGGTACCACCAAGCTTTCATATGAGGAACTGGAAAAGGCTGCTGGTTGTAGGCTCACCATCATAGTTAAATGCACTGATGAAATCTTCTTTGAATTTCCCAGAGTAATTTAGGGGCTCCCTCCTCTGAGCTTCCATGGTATCCTGTAAACAGCTCCTTCATTACACACCTTATATCTCCACACACATTATTACACGCATTATATCTCCTCCTTTTGGAGGTGCAAGGAGAGAGCTTGAAAGCTAAGAAGGTAGAAGATAAATTTTCACTATTTCAAGCCACTGCCCTGTGGAATAAGAGAAAGTTCACAGTGGTAAATTCTTCCCAGCTTTACCCAACTGGGACGTTTAGAAAGTTACCAAGCCTCACCACCATTTAGCTAGATGGTTGAGGCAAGTCTTCCATTTTACAGATGGGAAAACTGAGGCTTGGAGAGGCAGAGTGCCTTGCCCAATGTGACACAGCCACTCAAAATGGGGAAGGGATGACATTTAGGACTCCTAACTTGGTGTCCAGTAATACACAGCACCAGCATCACCTTCTTCTTCATCTTTCCTTTCCTCCCTGCTACAGTTGCTCATTCCTCTCTGTGTGTCACCTTCCCACACAGATCCCAGTGAGCCTCTGTAATTCTTGTTTACAAGCCTGTCTTCCCATGGTCAAAAATAGGACATAGTAGGTGCTTGGTCTGGTCACTCATATATCACAGTGGTTAAGAATACAGGAATCAGAGAGAAAGTACATTTAAATCCCAACTCCAATGTAATGAAGCATTGGGAAAAGTATGTGACCTCTCCATGCCTCAACATCATCATTGGTAAAATCATGCACATTGAAGTCCTATACAAAGTAAGTGTTCAATAATTGTTAGCTGTTATTACTGTTAATAATAAATATTTGTTGAACATCATTTTCAGGCTAACATACAAATTCCCAAAAGACATAGCCATTTAGCAATCCTGACTGGCTAGCCCAGAGTCCCATCTGGACCTATGTTAAAATAAAGTTGGAAGAAAAAATAAATTACTGGACTCTGTGTGCTAGCATGTGGGGGCAGAGATAATTCATCTTTCTGCAAATGAAAATTAATCATCTTGGCTTTGCTCAGCAGGCAGGCAGCAAGAATGCCAGTTGCTCCCTTCCCTGCCACTGGCGGGATTGTTCAGGAAATGAAGAAAGAAGATGGGATTGTTACAGGAGGCAGCCTCACAAACTACATCCTCCACATCAGATATGGGCATTATCAGCTTCCTCTTGGTCCTTTCTATTACCACTTACTTAGCCACCCATGGTGACAGGCTCCCAGCATAGCAGCCTCGTGCTTATAGCATTATTATTCTTTAATCTGGTTTCAATACATTTCAACAATACACGCTTTTATCTAGGACTGCTAAAAAAAAAAACAAAACACCTATCTGCTCAACAATTGGAATAGAGTCTAAGGCATTAGATGCATATGCTAAAAATGTCTGCTTGTGAGATAAACACACATTGTGTGTGTCTTCTTTTGTACCTCAGAGAACATTTTCTGAATAGGTGGTGGTCCATTTCCTGAGTCTCCTTCTCAAAATTATTAACAGAAAATTACAATCCTTCTTCATATATAGGCAAAGCTCTTTACTTTTGGTCCCAAGCATTTTGTGATGTGCCTTCTACAAAGATACTAGTGATAGTTACGTGACACGGGTGAGGTTCGTGTCTATTTTTCACATAAGACAAAATTGAAACCCAGAGCCTTTATAGGGCTGGGCTAAAGTCGTGTCTACAACTAGGGACAGATTTTTCTATCTTCCAGACCCACAATTCTTCTACAGCAATATGGTAGATGCCTGTTCATCTACCCAACACCCATTTTCCCTTTCTTGTCACTAAAAAAGAACACCAATGTGCCCAGCTAAAAATACTCACCTTTCCATATTTTTCTGCAGCCAACTGTAGCCATGTGGCTGTGTGTTGGTGATGTGAAGTGTTTGAGAAACAATCTTAAAGGATACAGACTCAGCATGCCCTTTAGCCTTGTAGCCCTTTTTTTTTTCTTTTTTTTATCATTTGGGCCTCTAATGTAAACATAGGAGTCTGGAAGTGCAGCAGCTATCTTGGGACCATGAGGTGACATTGGGGCCAAATGCTAAGGATGGAAGACAGAAATGATGGAAAGAGTCTACTATCCTATGGCATGGTGGAGCCACTACACCAAGATGAAATGGCCTATTCCTGCCTGCTTCTGACCACATTAATCTGTTGTTTCTTGGGTGAGTTGTTGACAAACATGAGTCCTAATTGATACTGAACACAGTGTTTCTCTTTTAACTGTAATGTCCTTTATTTCCTTGTGATATACTTTGGATCTGTGTCTCCACCCAAATCTCATGTTGAATTGAAGGTGGGGCATAGTGAGAGGTGACTGGATCTTGGGGGTGGATTTTTTTTCATGAATGGTTTAGTGCCATCCCCTTGTTGCTGTCCTCGCTGTAGTGACTTCTCATGAGATCTGGCTCTTTACAGCTGTGTAGCACCTTGGATTCTTTATTACTTCTGCTCCCATGATAGGAAATGCCTGCTCCCCCTTGACCTTCTGACATGACTAGAAGCTTCCTGAGGGCTCCCTGGAAGCAGATGCTGGGTTTATGTTTCCGTACAGCCTGTAGAACTGTAAGCCAATTAACCTCTTTTCTTGTAAATTACCCAGTCTCAGATATTTCTTATAGCAGTGCAAGAATAACACGTTCTGTCAATCAAGTAAACTCCTGTTCTTCTATTAAACCTCTGCTCAAGTGCTCCCATATCTGTGAAATCTTCTTTGAACTTCCCAGAGTAACTTAGGGGCTCCCTCCTCTGAGCTTCTGTGGCATCCTGTAAACAGCTCCTTCATTACACCCATTGTATCAGGTAGCTGAGCATTTGTATGTCTGTTCTCTCCCCACAAACACCTTCAAGGACAAGGACTACAACTTATAGTCCCAGACCTGTCACTTAGTAGGCACTCAATAACATTTTATGTAATTAATTGCTTCACCTACGTGGCCTCACCCACATTAATCCATTTTTTGTTATCTTTTTGGAAATCTGTTGGCCCAATTTTTAAATATTGATGTTTTTCAGTTACATACTCAGAACTTTTGTAGTTTTCTTCCAAGAATGACCTCATTCAGTCTAATAATTTATCATGCTATGAAGATGCTGATGCCCAGCCCAGATTCCTACTTAGGAATTTCCAGCCCAGGTCCCCTCTGGAGCACCATTATCATATAGCTCACATTGGTGTGGTCTACTGGTTACCAGCACTGTTTGGGGGCCCATCTGTCAGAATCCAAGTCTTAGCTTTTCCACTTATTAAATATGTGACTTTGAAGTGGTTATTTAAACTCTCTGTGTCTGTTTTTTTCTCTATCAATGAGGAAAACAATAATACTTAGGTAGAATTTTTGTGAGGGTTAAAGGCCTCACCACACATGTAAACTACTTAGAACCATCCAGGTTCATGGTAACTGTTGGTTATGATTTTTCTCATTAGACCAGCATACCTGGGTGCCCTATATACACTTCCCCTCAGTATGTTCATTCTCAGCTCACCTCTTTCTTCTAAACTCAGGAGGCTGCTCACCTTCCTGTATTCTCTCTCTCAGTTAATGCCATCATCTCTCTAGTCTCCCTGGCCAGAAACCTAAATTAGACATTGCCTTCTTCTTAACCCTTGCTTCTTAAGTTGAAAAAGATTTGTCAAATGGTCAAACATATTTGAATATTTTTGAGTTCATCTTCACATCATAGAACTGGTCAGACACAAAGTATCTTGAATGAATTGTTGGGATAGTCTCCAACTTGTACCCCTGCTGTGTTTTTATACCATGAATTACTTCCACCATATTTTGGCCACAATCAGCTTTCCCTTGTGCAAATAGGATCATGCCTCTTCCTTATTAAAATCCCTCAGTAGCTCCCCATAATCTCCAGGATCATGATTTCAGCCACTAGTCAAGGAGCATTTCTTCTCTGACTGTTCCCTGCTCATCTGTGCAGCTTCACACTCTGCTGGTCTCTCCAACATGACCGTACCATGGCTACCTTGAATTGTCTCTTCCTCAGATCCACCTTGTTAATTCATGCCTTCATGCCTTTGATTATGTTTTTCTTCCCTTCTGCTATGCCCTTTTCCGAACCTGCTTCCCCTGCCCAGTCTAGAGGATTGATTTTCTGCTCATTCTTCAAGTTTTAGTTTACCTGTCACCATGCTTCTGTATTCCTCCAAGATTTCTCAGACAGATGAGGGGCTCCTTGACTCCATGTTCAGATGGACCTGTCAAATTTAAACCTCACAGGATGGTAACTGCTTTTCGGCATGACTCTTTTCTTTAGATTATAAACTTCTCATAGACCAAAACAAGGCCATTTTTGTTCATCTTTATGGCTGCAGTGCATAGCCCAGTGCCTGAAATAGTTGACACTTTATAAATAATTGTGGAATAAGTCAGGGGTCCTCAAGCCCCAGGGAACCAGGCTGCGCATCATGAGGTGAGCAATAGGCAAGCAAGCACAGCTTCATCTGTATTTACAGCCACTCCCCACTGCTTGCATTACCACCTGAGCTCTACTTCCTGTCAGATCAGCTGCAGCATCAGATTCTCATATGAGTGTGAACCTTATTGTGAACTGCACGTGCAAGAGATCTAGGTTGTGTGCCCCGTATGAGAATCTAATGCCTGATGATCTGAGGAGGAGCTGAGGCAGTGTTGCTAACCCTGGGGAGTAGTTGCAAATACAGATTAACATTAGCAGAGAGTCTTGACTGCACACAGACCATAATAAATCAATTGCTTGTAGACTCATATGAAAACCTTATCCATGACTGGCAAGTGACAAGTTGCATCTGGTGGCAGGCTTTAAGTCAGAATCTGACACTTACTTTAGTCTGCGTATGGCCTGCCCGTTATTTTACCATTTCCATCGGCACCTCTTTCCCACAGTGCACACTTGTCTCAGTCAGTTTTCGTAAGCACACAAGCTAATCCTAGCCAAAATGAGTAAAAAACAAATGTCACTGGAAAGCTTCTTGGAAAAGGGGGAAAGACCCAATGATGAAACAGCTAGAAGACTCTCTTAAGACTGCCAACAAAAAGACGGCTGCATTTGAAAGAAAATGCCAAGAGTCCTACTTAAATTATAGCATCATTGCAACAGGAGGATCATATTCTTCATGCCTGCTTTGTATAATATTTGGTGACCAACTATCCAGCAGAGCCATGAGACCTTCAAAACTGCTTCGCCACATGGAGACCAAGCACCCTGCATTAAAAGACAAGTCTTTGGAGTTTTTCCAAAAGCAAAACATGTGAACACAAAGAATGAAAGCAATTATTGAAGGCTACCACTTCATCAAATGTGTCTGCACTGAGAGGGTCATTCTTAGTAGCTAACTGCATTACTAAAGCCAAGAAGCCCTTTACTGTTGGTGAAGACTTGATCCTGCCTGCTGCTAAGGATACTTGTCATGAATTTGTTTGGAGAAGCTGCAGTTCAGAAGGTGGAATGTGTTTCTCTTTCAGCTAGCACCATAACTAGAAGAATTGGTGAAATAGCAGAGGATATTGAGGCACAATTGTTAGAGAGGTTTAATGAGTCACCATGGTATGCAATCCGGGTTGATGAGTCTACCAGTGTTGACAATAAGGCAACAATGCTTGTTTTTGTGCAATATATTTTTCAGGAGGATGTACATGAGAATAAGTTATGTGTACTTTTGTTGCCACTGAACACCACAGCTGCAGAACTATTCAAGTCTTAGAATGATTACATATCAGGAAAACTGAACTGGTCATTTTGTGTTGGTATATGCATGGACAGAGTGGCTGCCATGACTGGATGGCTTTCTGGTTTCACTACTCAGGTCAAAGAGGTTGCTTCTGAATGTGAGTCTATGCACTGTGTCATCCATAGAGAAATGCTGCCTAGCCGAAAAATGTCACCTGAACTTAACGTTTTGCAGGATGTGATTAAAATTATCAATCACATTAAAGTATATGCACTTAACTCATGTCTGTGTAGCTCTGTGATGAGATGAACATAGAGCACACACGTCTTCTCTTATACACAGAAACGAGGTGGTTTTCTTTCTTTTCTTTTTTTTTAGACAGAGTTTTGCTCTTGTTGCCCAGGCTGGAGTGCAATGAAGCGATCTCGGGTGGGTCACTGCAACCTCCCCCTCCCGGGTTCAAGCAATTCTTCTGCCTCAGCCTCCCGAGTAGCTGGGATTACAGGCATGTGCCACCACGCCTGGCTAATTTTGCATTTTTATTAGAGATGGGTTTTCTCCATGTTGGTCAGGCTGATCTCAAACTCCCGACCTCAGGTGATCCGCCCACCTCAGCCTCCCAAAGTGCTAGGTTACAGGCGTGAGCCACCACGCCAGGCCATGAGATGGTTTTCTAAAGCTAGATCACTGGCCAGAGTTTTTGAGTTACCAGAGCCACTCCAGAGATTTGTTTTAGAAAAACAGTCATCATTGGCAGCACATTTCAGTGACACAGAATGGGTTGCAAAACTTGCTTACTAGTGTGACATATTCAACCTGCTCAGCGAACTCAATCTGTCACTTTCAGCGGAGAACGACAACTGTGTTCAAGTTGGCAGATAAAGTGGCTGCATTCAAAGCCAAACTGAAATTATGGGGGCAACCAGTGAACAATGGGATTTCTGACATGTTTCAAATATCAGCAGAGATTTTGAAAAAGACTGAGCCAGGGCTTTCTTTCTCCCAGCTGGTGCATGATCACCTATCTCAGTTTTCAAAAGAGTTTGAGTATTACTTCCCAACCACAAAAGACCCCGAACTGAGAAGGAAGGGGATCCTTCCTTCTTAGGAGGATTCCTTCTTCTCAGACTGGACATAGGCAACACGCTTTGGGTGTCACTGTCTCCCATCACCCCCAGATGGGACCATCTAGTTGCAGGAAAACAAGCTCAGGGCTCCCACTGATTTTACAGTATGGTGAGTTGTATAATTATTTTATTACATATTAAGATGGAATAATAATAGAAATAAAGTGGACAATAAATGTAATGCACTTGAATCATCCCAAAACCATCCCCACCCCATCCCCCCTGGTCCATGGAAAAATTGTCTTCCATGAAAACTGTCTCTGATGCCAAAAAGGTTGGGGACTGCTGGAATAAATAACTATCTATTATAAATGGCACTGTTTGTTTCACAGATCATCCAAGCTGGAAAGGATTTTAGTTACTTCTCATTCTGCTCCTTTCACTTCACAGAGAAAGACCTGTGGTTCAGAGAAGAAGGGTGACTTGCCTTAGGTCACACAGTAGGTTAGTAACAAAGAGGAGAAGAAAGCCAGGCTTCCTGATCCCTAACCATAAGTCCTTTCTCCTATGTTTCTATTTTACATGGATGATATTTTGGTAAGGATATTGGTGTAGTTGCGTATACCAGAAACACAAAATAACAGAAGATTAGATGAGATAGTTAATTTTCCCTCCATGACAGTCTGCCAGTAGCAATTCCAAGGCTAGTATAATTCCCAAGGTAAAAGAGACCCAGGCTCTTTTTGTCTGTGGGTTCATCCTCCCTCAGGTGTTGTTCTCAGCCTCAGGGTCCAAGGTTACTCACCTTGGATGCTGCTTAACTTACTCACAAGGTTGCTTATCTGTGTTCCAGTCAGCAGGGAATGGGTAAAAGAAGAGGGGGGATATATACTCTTTCCCTTAAGGGCATGACCAGAAATTGCATACAACACCTCTCCTTACATGCTATTGACCAGAACCTAGTTATGTGGTGACACTTAGGTTCAAGGGAGACTGGAAAAACATCAACTCTAGGGGACTGCCTGTGTAGTTAAACATTAAAAACTGTTGGCCTGGTAAGTGGCTTGCACCTGTAATCCCAGCACCTTGGGAGGCCAAGATGGGAGAATTCCTTGTAGCCAAGAGTTCAAGACCAGCCTGGACAACATAGTGAGATTCCATCTCTAAACTTTTTAAAAATTGGCTGGGCATGGTAGTGTGTATCTGTAGTACCAGCTACTTAGGAGGCTAAGACAGAAGGATCTCTTGAGCCCAGGAGTTCGAAGCTGCAGTGAGCTTCATGCCACTGCACTCCAGCTCTGGGCAACAAAGTGACACCTGTCTCAAATGTCTCGAAGAAAACCCTTTGATTTGATACTAAAAATGAGTTTATTAAAAAGGTAGAGTTAATTCATTGTTCCTGTTTCAAAGATGTAAATAAAACTGAGGCCCTGGGAATGGTTAAGAATACTGGCTTTGATGTCAACAGATTTAAGTTTGGTTTTTGTGTGTGTGTTTGTGTTTGTGTGTGTGTGTGTACGTGATTTTTTTTAATTATTATACTTTAAGTTTTAAGGTACATGTGCACAACGTGCAGGTTTATTACATATGTATACATGTGCCATGTTGGTGTGCTGCACCCATTAACTCGTCATTTATATTAGGTATATCTCCTAATGCTATCCCTCCCCCCTCCCCCACCCCACAACAGGCCCTGGTGTGTGATGTTCCCCTTCCTGTGTCCATGTGTTCTCATTGTTCAATTCTCACCTATGAGTGAGAACATGTGGTGTTTGGGTTTTTGTCCTTGCGATAGTATGCTGAGAATGATGGTTTCCAGCTTCATCCATGTCCCTACAAAGGACATGAACTCATCATTTTTTATGGCTGCATAGTATTCCATGGTGTATATGTGCCACATTTTCTTAATCCAGTCTATCGTTGTTGGACATTTGGGTTGGTTCCAAGTCTTTGCTATTGTGAATAGTGCCGCAATAAACATACGTGTGCATGTGTCTTTATAGCAGCATGATTTATAATCCTTTGGGTAAATACCCAGTAATGGGATGGCTGGGTCAAATGGTATTTCTAGTCCTAGATCCCTAAGGAATCGCCACACTGACTTCCACAATGGTTGAACTAGTTTACGGTCCGACAAACAGTGTAAAAGTGTTCCTATTTCTCCACATCCTCTCCAGCACCTGTTGTTTCCTGACTTGTTAATGTTCGCCATTCTAACTGGTGTGAGATGGTATCTCATTGTGGTTTTGATTTGCATTTCTCTGATGGCCAGTGATGATGAGCATTTTTTCATGTGTCTTTTGGCTGCATAAATGTCTTCTTTTGAGAAGTGTCTGTTCATATCCTTTGCCCACTTGTTGATGGGGTTGTTTGTTTTTTTCTTGTACATTTGTTTGAGTTCTTTGTAGATTCTGGATATTAGCCCTTTGTCAGATGAGTAGGTTGCAAAAATTTTCTCCCATTCTGTAGGTTGCCTGTTCACTCTGATGGTAGTTTCTTTTGCTGTGCAGAAGCTCTTTAGTTTAATTAGATCCTGTTTGTCTATTTTGGCTTTTGTTGCCATTGCTTTTGGTGTTGTAGAGTCCTTGCCCATGCCTATGTCCTGAATGGTATTGCCTAGGTTTTCTTCTAGGATTTTTATGGTTTTAGGTCTAATGTTTAAGTCTTTAATCCATCTTGAATTAATTTTTGTATAAGGTGTAAGGAAAGGATCCAGTTTCAGCTTTCTACATATGGCTAGCCAGTTTTCCCAGCATCATTTATTAAATAGGGAATCTTTTCCCCATTTCTTGTTTTTGTCAGGTTTGTCAAAGATCAGATAGTTGCAGATGTGTGGCATTATTTCTGAGGACTCTGTTCTGTTTCATTGGTCTATATCTCTGTTTTGGTACCCGTACCATGCTGTTTTGGTTACTGTAGCCTTGTAGTATAGTTTGAAGTTGGGTAGTGTGATGCCTCCAGCTTTGTTCTTTTGGCTTAGGACTGAGTTGGCAATGTGGGCTCTTTTTTGGTTCCATATAAACTTTAAAGTAGTTTCTTCCAATTCTGTGAAGAAAATCATTGGTAGCTTGATGGGGATGGCATTGAATCTATAAATTACCTTGGGCAGTATGGCCATTTTCACGATATTTATTCTACCTACCCATGAGCATGGAATGTTCTTCCATTTGTTTGTGTCCTCTTTTATCTCGTTGAGCAGTGGTTTGTAGTTCTCCTTGAAGAGTTCCTTCACATCCCTCGTAAGTTGGATTCCTAGGCATTTTATTCTCTTTGAAACAATTGTGAATGGGAGTTCACTCATGATTTGGCTCTCTGTTTGTCTGTTATTGGTGTATAAGAATGCCTGTGATTTTTGCACACTGATTTTGTATCCTGAGATTTTGCTGAGGTTGCTTATCAGCTTAAGGAGATTTGAGGCTGAGACGATGGGGTTTTCTAGATATACAATCATGTCATCTACAAACAGGGACAATTTGACTTCCTCTTTTCCTAATTGAATACCCTTTATTTCCTTCTCCTGCCTGATTGCCCTGGCCAGAACTTCCAACACTATGTTGAATAGGAGTGGTGAGAGAGGGCATCCCATTTTATGAGTCCAGCATCATCCTGATACCAAAGCCTGGCAGAGACACAACAAAAAAAGAGAATTTTAGACCAATATCCCTGATGAACATCGATGCAAAAATCCTCAATAAAAATGGCAAACCGAATCCAGCAGCACATCAAAAAGCTTATCCACTATGATCAAGTGGGCTTCATCCCTGGGATGCAAGACTGGTTCAACATACGCAAATCAATAAACGTAATCCAGCATATAAACAGAACCAACGACAAAAACCACATGATTATCTCAATAGATGCAGAAAAGGCCTTTGACAAAATTCAACAACGCTTCATGCTAAAAACTCTCAATAAATTAGGTATTGGCGGGACGTATCTCAAAATAATATGAGCTATTTGTGACAAACCCACAGCCAATATCATACTGAATGGGCAAAAACTGGAAGCATTCCCTTTGAAAACTAGCACAAAACAGATTTAAGTTTGAATCCTCGCTCTGCCATTTACTGATTACTGGATTTGGGGCAAACTGTGCAGCCTTTCCACATTTCAGTTTTCATAAGTGACATCTTCTTTCCTCATATAATTGTTGTGAGGTCTAGTTACTGGAAAATAACCTGACACAGGTGCCTGGTACGGAGTAATCACTGCTATTTTTACAGGATGTGCTCAAGGCGTTATTTGAGAGCAGAATGCTCTGTCTGATCCAGCCCAACACTGTATCCTCACACCCAGCACAGTCTCTGATGCAGAGTAAGACCTGAGTAAATATTTGTTGGAAAAATAAATTAAGTTAATGAGTCAGAACTAGAATGCAAATGGCTTACACTTTATGCCCCATGCTGTTTCTATGCTGCTAGAATGCCAGTTCTGTTTATGCTCTTGATGATCCCTTCTCTCTGAATATGAGCCTCAGAATCCACATTGAATCTGCGCAGATCCAAGGGCGATGCCTCAAAACCAGGTTCCAGCCGGCAGCACCCAGAGCTGGAGCAAGTGCAAGCCCTATAGTGGCAGATTCAATGCTTTTCACCTGGACTCTGATGAGGCAGAGCCTTGGAGAAATCACCTCTGTCACATTTCCCAGAGCTGTGTGCCCCAACTTATCTCCCCAAATCAGCAAACGACACAGCAAACCCAAGACTGAATCCAGCTGGCTGCCCACCCAAACACACTTGCACTTTCTCTTCCAAATGAGGAGCCTTCTTTATGCCTCCTTCATTAAGATCTTGTCCCCTTGACCCATCTTAGTTTTCTAATTTGTGCCATTCCTAGAATGTGCACCAGGCAGCATCCAATTACAGCCAATCCTTGCTTCCAAAATAAATCAGCAGCTGGCAACTGATCATAAAATTAGAATTCTTGCTCAGGAATAGGGATGGGTGAAGGAACAGCAAGATCTCAGGAGGAAATGAGGATATGTGTTAAAAAAAAAAAAAGTGCATTTGGCCTCAGAAGTCCTGCATTGAACTTCCACCCCAACTTTCAGAGCTTGTGATCTGGGTAAGTCACTTAAACTCCCAGAGCTCCTTAGGTACCATCTGCATAATGAGGATATTATCACATACCATATCACTCTTCTCACAGAGATCTTGTGGGATAAAGGAGCCAATTCCTTTTAATCTGTTAAATTCAGAAAAATAAAGGGCTTATCATCCCTGGAGAAGTAGGGATTTGGAAATACTGCATGTGGTGTCTTATTACTAGCTATACAGTAAGCTATATAGTAAGAAGACGACACACTACATGGAGATATATATACACATACACACACACACACACACACACACACACACACACACACACACACACATATATATATATATTTATTTATAATCCAGTTCTACTTCCATGATTCTAAGCATGACCAATACGTCAGCAAGGGGCACTCTGCTCTTTAAGTCTGAAAGATTGACTTTTGTTCCTATCCTGCACTCTGAATTTCCTATAAAATAATATGTTTAACATGATTAAGGAAATAGGAAGGAATAGAAAGTATAAGTGAGGAAGAAGAGATGAACAGAAATGACTAGGTATATTTGCAAGAGAACCAGGTTTTGAAGAAACCCAAAGAATGTAATACACTCGTGTGCCACAAAACAACATTTCAGTTGATGACAGACTGCATGTACAACAGTGGGCCCGTAACATTATAATGGCACTGAAAACTTCCTATTGCCTAGCTACGTCATGGCACAATGCATCATTCACATTTTTGTGGGGATGCACATATAAACAAGCCTACAGCACTGCCAGTTGTATAAGAGCATAGCACATAGGATTATGTACAGTATATAATATTTGATGATAACAAATGGTTATCTTACTGGTTTATGTATTTACTATTTTTATCACTATTTTACAGTGTACTCATTCTAATTACAAAATAAATAAGTTAACTGTAAAACAGCCTCAGGTAGGTCCTTCAGGGGGTATTCCAGAAGAAGGCACTGTTATCACAGGAGATGACAGCTCCATGCATGTTATCGCCTCTGAAGCCCTTCCAGTGGGACAAGATGTGGAGGTGGAAGACAGTGATATTGATGAGCCTGACCCTGTGGAGGCCTAGACTAATGTGTGTGTTTCTGTTTTAGTCTTTAACAAAAAAGTTTAGAAAGTTAAAAAATAGAAAAAAAAGCTTATATAATAAGGATTTAAAGAAAGGATATTTTTGTACACCTGCACAATATGTGTTTTTAGCTGTGTTAAAACAAAAGAGTCAAAAGTTTAAAAAATTTGAAAGTGTGTAAAGAGTTCCAGTAAGCTAAGGTTAATTTATTATAATAATTATTATTTTATTTATTTATTTATTTTGAGACAGAATCTCGCTCTGTCACCCAGGCTGGAGTGCAATGGCATGATCTCAGCTTACTGCAACCTATGCCTCCTGGGTTCAAGCAGTTCTCCTGCATCAGCCTCCTTAGTAGCTGGGATTACAGGCACCTGCCATCATGCCTGGCTAATTTTTGTGCTTTTAGTAGATACGGTGTTTCACTGTGTTGGCCAGGCTGGTCTCGAACTCCTGACCTCATGATCCGCCTGTCTCGGTCTCCCAAAGTGCTGGGATTACAGGCGTGAGCCACTGCGCTGGCCTAATTTATTACTGAATAAGAAGCAGTTTTAAATAAATTTCGTGTAACCTAAATACACAATGTTTATAAAGTCTAAAATAGTGTACAGTAATGTCCTAGATCTTCATATCTGCTCACCACTCCCTCACTGACTCACCCAGAGCAATTTCCAGTCCTGCAAGCTCCACTCATGGTAAGTGACCTATATAAACGTACCATTTTAAAAATGGTTTATGCCGGGCGCGGTGGCTCACGCCTGTAATCGAAGCACTTTGGGAGGCTGAGACGGGCGGATCACGAGGTCAGGAGATTGAGACCATGCTGGCTAACACTGTGAAACTCCGTCTCTACTAAAAATACAGAAAAATTAGCCAGGCATGGTAGCGGGCGCCTGTAGTCCCAGCTACTCGGGAGGCTGAGGCAGGAGAATGGCGTGAACCCGGGAGGTGGAGCTTGCAGTGAGCCGAGATCGCGCCACTGCACTCCAGCCTGGGCGACAGAGCGAGACTCCGTCTCAAAAAAAAAAAAAGAATGGTTTATAACATATTTGTATTGTACCTTTTCTACGTTTAGATACATGTGTTACAACTGCCTACAGTATTCAGTACAGTCACATGTCATACAAGTTTGTAGCCTAGAAGAAACAGGTCATACCATATAGCATATACCAGCTAGATGTGTGTAAGTACACTCCATGATGATCACACAATAACAAAATTGCCTAACAATGCATTTCTCAGAATAAATCCCCATCATTAAGCAACACATTGACTGCATTAAAAGTAAAAAAACTTCAATAGGCAGATTAGACAGATAAATAGATATGCTAAAAAAAGTAAAAAAAACAGGGACTTTAAAAATCATAAGATAAATCTGAGGAAATAAAATAGAATGTAGCACAGAGATAAATCAACACAAATCATAGAGGAAATGTGAAGAAGCATAGAGGACAGAGAGGCATTTAATTGTATGTTAACTGGAGTGTTATCGGAGGACCTAATTGAGAGACTGGGGAGAGGATAATTTAAGGGTTAAAAAACAAGTTAGGGCTGGGCAAGGTGGCTCATGCCTGTAATCCCAGCCCTCTGGGAGGCCGAAGCAAGAGGATTGGGTGAGCTCAGAAGTTTGAGACCAGCCTGGGCAACATGATAAAATCCTGTCTACAAAAAATGCAAAAATTAGCTGGGCATGGTGGCACACGCTTATAGTCCCAGCTACTTGGGAGGCTGAGGCATGAGGATGACTTGAGGCCAGGAGGTGGAGGTTGCAGTGAGCCCAAGATTGAGCCACTGGGCTCCAGCCTGCCTGGCAGAGTAACCTGTCTCAGGAAAAAAAAAAAAAAAAGATAGAAATAAAGTGATAACAAAGGCATACAAACAAGGAAGGAGGTCATCAGACGACTTAAGGTGTTCTAAGGTCCTTACGATTTTCAGGAGGAGAGTAAAGATTTTGATTAACTTTAGACTTATTAAGGATGCATATTAAAATGTCAAGGATAATTCTTACATAAAAGGAATAATGTAAATAACCTCCAAACTAAAAGGGAAAATAGTATGGAGGGAAAATGGTGCTGCAACCATTTCTATAACCTGGTCTTCTGCCTTCTACTGTGATGCATAGCTTCCTCTACCCATCTTTTTTCTGCTTCTCTCCCTAGACTCAGTATAGAGTCTCCCTTCACATATGAGGTGTTTCCACCTGTAACTAACAAGCGTAGGTTCTGATTTCAGTCTCACAGCAAGAAGACTGTGCGTCTTCTGTTGTGGGTGGGCAGTCCATGGCTGGAGTGTTGGTTCCTGGGTGCCATAAAGTGTTCAGATTTCCATCATCTTTCTACTTTATCTATTAGCATTTTGCTTTGTTGTCTCATGATTGTAAGATTCCTGCTGAAATTTCAGACACCACATCATGGTCAAGACAGAAAGGATAGAAACA